>NT_187383.1:496171-680465 GCF_000001405.40 Homo sapiens
GAATTCACACATCACAAAGCAGTGTCACAGACAGATTCCATTTTTCATCTGGGGATATTCCGTTTTTCCCATAGGACTCAATGGGCTCTGAAATGTCCCTTTGCAGATTTGTAAACCAGAGTGTTTTCAACCTGCTGAATCAAAACGAAAGTTTAACTCTGTGAGATGAATCCACACATCACAAAGGAGTTTCACCAATAGATTCTTTCTAGTTTTTTTCTGGGGATATCCGTTTTCATCCTTAGGCCACAGTTAGCTCCCAAATGTACCATCACAGATTCTCCAAAATTGTGTTTCCAATATGCAGTATGAAAAACAAAGCTTATCTCTAACATTTAAGTCTTTAATCCTTCTTAAATTTATTTTTCATAAGGTGTAAGGAAGGGATCCTGTTTCAGCTTTCTACATATGGCTAGCCAGTTTTCCCAGCACCATTTATTAAATAGGGAATCCCTTCCCCATTTCTTGTTTTTGTCAGGTTTGTCAAAGATCAGATGGTTGTACATATGCGGCATTATTTCTCAGGGCTCTGTTCTGCTCCATTGGTCTATATCTCTGTTTTGGTACCAGTACCATGCTGTTCTGGTTACTGTAGCCTTGTAGTATAGTTTGAAGTCAGGTTGCATGATGCCTCCAGCTTTGTTCTTTTGGCTATGGATTGACTTGGCAATGTGGGCTCTTTATTGGTTCCATGTGAACTTTAAAGTAGTTTTTTCCAATTCCGTGAAGAAAGTCATTGGTAGCTTGATGGGGTTGGCACTGAATCTATAAATTACCTTCAGCAGTATGGCCATTTTCAAAATATTGATTCTTCCCACCCATAAGCATGGAATGTTCTTCCATTTGTTTGTATCCTCTCTTATTTCATTGAGCAGTAGTTTGTAGTTCTCCTTGAAGAGTTCCTTCAAATCCCTTGTAAGTTAGATTCCTAGGTATTTTATTCTCTGTGAAGCAATTGTTAGACCTAAAACCATAAAAACCCTAGAAGAAAACCTAGGCAATACCATTCAGGATATAGGCATGGGCAAGGACTTCATGTCTAAAACAATAAAAGCAATGACAACAAAAGCCAAAACTGACAAATGGGATCTAATTAAACTAAAGAGCTTCTGCACAGCAAAATAAACTACCATTAGAGTGAACAGGCAACCTACAGAATGGGAGAAAATTTTTGCAATCTACTCATCTGACAAAGGGCTAATATCCAGAATCTACAATGAACTTAAACAAATTTACAAGAAAAAAACAAACCCCATTAACAAGTGGGTGAAGGATATGAACAGACACTTCTCAAAAGAAGACATGTATGCAGCCAAAAGACACATGAAAAATGCTCATCATCACTGGCCATCAGAGAAATGCAAATCAAAACCACAATGAGATACCATCTCACACCAGTTAGAATGGCAATCATTAAAAAGTCGGGAAACAACAGATGCTGGAGAGGTTGTGGAGAAATAGGAACACTTTTACACTGTTGGAGGGACTGCAAACGATTTCAACCATTGTGGAAGTCAGTGTGGCGATTCCTCAGGGATCTAGAACTAGAAATACCATTTGACCCAGCCATCCCATTACTGGGTATATACCCAAAGGATTATAAATCATGCTGCTATAAAGACACATGCACACGTATGTTTATTGCAACACTGTTCACAATAGCAAAGACTTGGAACCAAGCCCAATGTCCAATAATGATAGACTGGATTAAGAAAATGTGGCACATATACACCATGGAATACTATGCAGCCATAAAAAATGATAAGTTCATTCTCCTTTGCAGGGACATGGATGAAGCTGGAAACCACCATTCTCAGCAAACTATCACAAGGACAAAAAACCAACCACCACATGTTCTCACTCACAGGTGAGAATTGAACAACAAGAACACATGGACACAGGAAGGGGAATATCACACACAGGGGCCTATTGTGAGGTGGGGGTAGGGGGGAGGGATAGCATTAGGAGATATACCTAATGTTAAATGACGAATTAATGGGTGCAGCACACCAACATGGCACATGTGTACATATGTAACTAACCTGCACATTGTGCACATGTACCCTAAGACTTAAAGTATAAGAAAAAAAAAAAAAGAAAAGCTTATCTCTGTGAGATGAATCCACATATTGTAAAGCAGTTTCACAGATAGCTTCTTTCTAGTTTTTAATCTGGAAATACTCTGTTTTTCCCCATACTCCTCAAATGTCCCTTCACAGATTCTCCAAAAACAGTGTTTCCAACAGGGTGAGGGAAAAAAAAAAAAACGTTTAACTCTGTGCTGAATCCACATATCACAAAGCAGTTTCACAGATAGCTTCTTTCTAGTTTTCATTGGGGATTATCGCTTTTTCCCCAGAGGCCTCATTGGGCTCCCTTATGTCCCTTTGCAGAATCTCCAGAAAGTGTTTCCAACTTGCTGAATCAAAAGAAATATCTAACTTTGTGAGACAAATCTACACATCACAAAGCGGTTTCAGAGATAGCTCATTTCTGTTGTTTTCCTGGGGACATTCAATTTTTCCACATAGACTTAATCAGCTCCCAAATATCCCTTTGCAGATTCTCCAATAATGTGTTTCCAACCTGCTGAATCAAAAGAAAGGTTTAACTCTGTGACTTGAATGCACATATCACAAGCCAGTTTCACAGATAGCTTCCTTCTAGTTTTTATCTGGAGATTTTCTGTTTTTACCATAGGCCTCAAAGGGCTTTTAAACATCCCTTTGCAGATTCTCAGAAAGAGTGTTTTCAACCTACTGAATCCTAAGAAAGTTTAAGTCTGTGAGTTGCATCCACCCATCACGAGTAGGTTCACAGAAAGCTTCTTTCTTGTTTTGATCTGGGGATATTTGTTTTTTCCCCATAGTCCTCAATTGGATTCCAAATATCCCTTCACAGATGCTTCAAAAAGAGTGTTTCCAACCTGCTGAATCAAAAGAAAAGTTTAACTCTCTGAGATGAAGCCACACATCCAAAATCAGTTTCACAGATAGCTTCTTTCTAGTTTTTATCTGGCCATATTCAGTTTTTCATCATAGGCCTCAATGTGCTCCCAAATTTCCCTTCACAGATTTTCCAAAAAGAGTGTTTGCAACCTGCTGATTCAAAAGGAAGGTTTAACTCTGGGAGCTGAATCCACACATCATGAAGCAGTTTCAGAGATAGCTTCTTTCTAGTTTTTATCTGAGGATATTTGATTTTTCTCCATAGGCCTCAAAGGGCTCCCAAATGTCCCTTCATAGATTTCCAAAAACAGTGGTTCCAACTTGCTGACTCAAAACAAACTTTTAACTCTGTGAGATAAATCCACACATTACAAAGCAGCTTATCAGATAGCTTCTTTCTAGTTTTTATCTTTGGATATTCCGTTTTTCCCCATAGGCCTCTTTAGGCTTCCAAACCTCCCTTCCCAGGTTCTCCAAAAAGAGTGTTTACAACATGCTGAATCAAAATAAAGGTTTGACTCTGTGAGATGAATCCACACACCAGAAAGCTGTTTCAAAGAATTTGTCTTTGTTCTTTTTATCTGGAGATATTCTGTTTCACCCAAGAGGCCACAATGGGCTACAAAATATCCCTTCACAGATTCTCCACAAAGACTGTTGCCAACCTGTTGGACCAACAGAAATGTTTAGTTCTGTGTGATAAATCCATGCATCAAAAAGCAGTTTCACAAATAGCTTCTCTTCTTTTTTTGTTTGGGGATATTCAATTTTGACACATCAGCCTTATTGGGCTCCTAAATGGCCTATTGCAGGTTCTGCAGTAACAGTGTTTCCAACCTACTGAATCAAAATAAACGTTTAACACTGTAAGATAAAACCACATATTACAAGGCAGTTTCAAAGATAGCCTTTTTCTGTTTTTTTTTTTTTTTTTTTTCTGGGGATATTTGCTTATTTCACATAGACTTCAGTGGGCTCCCAAATGTCCCTTAAGATCTTACAAAAAGAGTGTTTCAAACCTGCTGAATCAAAACAAAGGTTTTATTTGGTGAGATGAGTCCTCACATGACAAAGCAGTTTCACAGATAGCTTCTTTCTAGTTTTAATCTGTGGATTTTTTTTTTTTTGCCTTTGGCCTAAAATGGCTCACAAATGTCCCTTCACAGATTCCCCAAAAAGAGTGTTTCCAACCTGCTGAATCAAAAGAAAGTTTTAACTCTGGGAGATGAATCCACATATCCCAAAGCAGTTTCAGAGATAGCTTCTTTCTAGTGTTTATGTGAAGAAATTTGATGTTTCCACATAGGCTTCAAAGGGCTCCCAAACGTTTCAGTGTTTCCAATCCGTTGAATCAAAAGAAATATTTAAATCACTTGGATGAATCTACCCATCAAAAAGCAGTTTCACATATACCTTCTATCTAGTTTTTATGTGGGGATATTCGATTTTTCCACAAGGCCTAAATGGGCCTCAAAACATCATGTTGCAGATTCTCCAAAAACAGTGTTTCCAACCTGCTGATTAAAAACAAAGGCTTAACTCCGTGAGTTGAATCCACACATCACAAGGAAGTGATATCTTCTTTCTTGATTTTATCTGATGATATTCAGTTGTTCCCCATTCACATCAATTGACTACCAAATGTCCCTTCGCAGATTCTCCAAAAATAGGGTTTTTAACCTACTGAATTAAAGGAAAGGTTTTACTCTGTGAGGCGAATCCACACATGACAAAGCAGTTTCACAGATAGCTTCTTTCTAGTTTTTATCTGCGGACATTCTGTTTTTCCCCATAGGCCTCAATGGGCTCTGAAATGTCCCTTCACAGATACTACAAAAAAAGTGTTTCTGATCTGCTGAATCAAAAGAAAGGTTTAACACTGTGAGATGAATTCATACCTCACAAAGGAGTTTCATAGATAGCTTCTTTCTAGTTTTTATCTGTCGATATTTGCTTTTTCCCCTTAGATGAAAATGGGCTTCAAATTTCACTTTGCAGACCCTACAAAAATAGTATTTCCAATCTTCTGAATCAAAACAAAGGTTTAACACTGTGAGATGAATCCACACATCACAAAGGAGTTTCAAAGATAGCTTCTTTCTAGTTTTTATCTGGATATTAGTTTTCTCCCCATAGACCTCAATGAGCTCCTAAATGTCTCTTTGCAGATTCTACAAAGAGTGTTTCCAACCTACTGTAGAAAAGAAAGATTTAACTTTGTAAGATGAATCCACACATGACAAAACTGTTTCACAGATAGCTTCTTTCTAGTTTATATCTGGGGATATTTGACTTTTCCACTAGATTTCAATGGGCTCCTAAATGTCCCTTTGTAGATTTTCCCAAAAGAGTATTTCAAACCTTTTGAATAAAATGAAAGGTTTAACTCTGTGAGATGAATGCACACCTCAAAAAGCAGTTTCAAAGATAGCTTTTTTTCTAGCTTTTATCTGGGGATATTCTGTTTTTCCCCATAGGCCTCCATTGGCTACCAAATGTCCCTTCATAGATTCTACAAAAAAAGTGTTTTCAACCTGCTGAATAAAAAGAACATTTTAACTCTGTGAGATAAATCCACACATCACAAAGCAGTTTCACAGATAGCTTCTTTCTAGTTTTTACCTGTGGGTATTTCATTTTTCTGCCTAGGCCTCAACTGGACTCCAAAATGTCCCTTCGCAAATACTACAAAAACAGTGTTTCCAAACTGGTGAATCAAAAGAGAGGTTTAACTCTGTGTGATGAACCCACACTCCAAAAGCAGTTTCACAGATAGCTTATTTCTAGATTTTATCTGGAGATATTCAATTTTTCCCCATAGGCCTTATTGGGCTCCAAAATGTCCATTGGCAGATTCCACAAAAAGTGTGTTTCCAACATGCTGAATCAAAAGAAAGCTTTACCTGTGTGAAATGAGTCCACACATCACAAAGAAGTTTCAAAGATACATTCTTTCTAGTTTTTATCTTTGGATATTCTGTTTTTCCTTATAGGGCTCCATGGGCTCCCAAATGTCTCTTTGCAGTTTCTCCAAAAAGAGTTTTTCCAACTTGCTCAATCGAAATAAAGCTGTAACTCTGCGAGATGAATCCACACATCACATAGCATTTTCACAAATTGCTTCTTTCTAGTTTATATCTGAGGATATTGGATTTTTCCCTGTAGGCCTCAATGGGCTCTAAATTGTTCCTTTGCAGATTCTCCAAAAGGAGCTTTTCCAACCTGCTGAATCAAGAGAAAGTTTTAACTCTGTGAGATGAATCCACACATCAAAAAGCAGTTTCACAGATAGACTTATTTTCGTTTTTTTCTTGGGATATTAGATTTTCACCCATAGGTTATAAAGGGCTCCCAAATATCTCTTTGCAGATTCTCCAAAAGGAGTGTTTCCAACCTGCTAAGACAAAAGAAAAATTGAACTCTGTGAGATAAATCCACACATCCCAAAGTAGATCACAGATAACTTCTTTCTAGTTTTTATATGGGCATATTCAGTTTTTCCCCATATGCCTCAATGTGCTCCCAGATGTGTTCCACACACCACAAAGCAGTTTCACAGATAGCTTCTTTGTTCTTTTTACCTAAGGATATTCAGTTTTGCTTCATAGGCCTCAAAGGGCTCCCAAATGTCCCTTTGCAGATCCTTCAAAAAAAGTGTTTCCAATATGCAGAATCAAATGCAGGTTTAGCTCTGTGAGATGAATCCACACATCTCAAAGCAGTTTTACACATTGTTTTTTTCTAGTTTTCATCTGAGGATATTCTTTTCTTCCTCTAGGCCTCTATATGCTCAAAAATGTTCCCTCACAGATTCTACAAAAAGTGTTTTTCCAACCTGCTGAATCAAAGGAAAGGCTTAACTCTATGAGATAAATCCATGCATTACAAAGCAGTTTCACAGAGATGTTCTTTCTAGTTTTTATTTTGGGATATTCAGTTTTCCCTTATAGGCCCCAAAAAGGTCCCAAATGTTTCATCAGAGATTCTAGAGTGTTTGAAACCTGCAGAATCAAGAGAAAAGTTTAACTCTGTAAGATGAATCCACGCGTCACAAAGCAGTTTCACAGATAGCTTATTTCTAGTTTTTATCTGGGGATATACATTTTTTAAGTCATCAATAATCTCTCAGTTGTCCCCTTGAAGATTCTCCAAAAGGAGGGTTTTCAACCTGCTGAATCAAGAAAACAGTTTATCTCTGTGAGATAAATTCACAAATCACAAAACAGTTTCACAGATAGCTTTTTTTTTTTTTAGTTTTTATCTGCAGATATTCGTTTTTTTCCCCATAGGCCTCAATGGGCTCCGAAATGTCCCTTTGCAGATTCACCAAAAAGAGTACTTCCAACCAGCTGAATCAAAAGCAAGGATTAACTCTGTGAGATGAATTTAGATGAAAAAAAATTTCACAGATAGCTCCTTTCTAGTTTTTATCTGGGGATATTCGGTTTTTCCCCCATAGGCCTTATGGGCTCCCAAATGTCCCATAACAGATTCTCCAAAAAGAGTGTTTCCAACTGGCTGAATCAACAGAAATGTTTAACTCTGTGGGATGAATCCACATATCACAAGACAACTTCACAGTTAACGTCTCTCTAGTTTATGTCTGGTATATTAATTTTTTTCCCATAGGCCTCAATGAGCTCCAAAATGTCTTTTTGCAGATCCTACAAAAAGAATTTTTCCAACATACTGCCTGAAAAGAAAGATTTAGCTCTGTGAGATGAATCTACACCTCATAAAGCATTTCACTGATAGCTTCTTTATAGTTTTTATCTGGATATATTAAGTTTTTCCTTATAAGCCTCAAAGGTGTCACAAATGTCCTTTCACATATCCTAAAAAAAGAGTGTTCTCAAACTTATGGATTAAAAGAAAGTTTCAACTCTGTGAGATGAATCCAAACCTCACAAACCAGTTTCACAGATAGAATCTTCCTAATTTTTATCTGGGATATTCAATTTTTCTTCATAGGCCACAATGGGCTACAAAATGTCCTCTTGCAGATTGTCCAAAAAGAGCGTTTCCAACCTGCTGAAAAAAAAACCTTTAACTCTGTGAGATGAATCCACGCATCACAAAGCAATTTCAAAAATAACTTCTCTCTAGTTTTTATCTGGGGTTATTCTCTTTTACACCTTAGACCTCAATGGGTTCCCAAATGTCTTTTCTTAGATTTTACAAAAAGAGTGTTTCCAACCTGCAGAATCAAGAGAAAGGTTTATCTTTGTGAGATAAATCCACACATAATAAAACAGTTTCACGGATACCTTCTTTCTGGTTTTTATCTATGGATATTTGGTTTTTCCCTTTCTGCCTCAATTGGCTTCAAAATGTTGCTTTGCAAATTCTCCAAAAAGATTTTCCAACATGCTGAATCAAAAGAATAATTTAACTCTGTGAGTAGAGTCCACACATCAAAAACCAGTTTCACAAAGATTCTTTCTACTTTTTTTCTGGGGATATTTGGATTTTTTCTGTAGGCCTCAACTGGCTCACAAATGTCCCTTTGCAGATTCTCCAAAACGAGTGTTTATAACCTGCTGAATAAAAAGGATGATTTAACTCTGTGAGATGAATCCACACATTACAAAGCAGTTTTGCAGCTAGCTTTTTTCTAATTTATTTTTTCTGGGGATACTCATTTTCTTCCCATGGGCTTCAATGGGCTCCCAAATGTGCATTCCCAGAGTCCCCAAAAAGAGTGTTTCCACCATGCTAAATAAAAAGAAAGGTTTAATTCTGTGAGAGGAATCAACACATCAAAAAGCAGTTTCACAGATAGTTTCTTTCCGCTTTGTATCTGGGGATATTTGATTTTTCCCCTCAGGCCCTTGTGGGCTCACAGATTTTCTGAAAAGAGTGTTTCCAATCTGCTGAATCAAAAAAAAGTTTAACTTTGTGAGATGAATCCACTCATTATGAAGCAGTTGCTCAAATAGCTTCTTCTAGTTTTATTCATGGACTATTCTGTTTTGCACCATAGGCCTCTAAGGGCTTCAAAATGTCCCTTCTCAGATACTGCAAAAAGAGTGTTTCAAACCTGCTGAATCAAAACAAAGATTTAACTCTGTGAGATGACTCCAGACATCCCAATGCAGTTTCACAGATTGCTTCTAGTTTTTATTGGGGGATATTCAATTTACCACCTAGGCCTCAATAAGCTCTCAAATGTCCCTTTGCTGATTCTCCAAAAGAAATGTTTCCATGCTGCTGAATCAAGACAAAAATTTAAATCTGTGCAAAGAATCCACACATCACAAAGCAGTTTCACAGATAGCTTCTTTGTAGTTTTTATCTGGGGACATTCTGTTTTTCCCCCAAGGCCTCAATGGGTTTTGAAATATCATTTTGCAGATACTTTGAAAAGAGTGTTTCCAACCTGCTGAATGAGAGGAAATGTTTATCTCTGTGAGATGAATCCACACATCACAAAGTAGTTTCACAGATAGCTTTTTTGTAGTTTTTATGTGGGGAAATTCAATTTTTTATAGGCCCCCAAAAGCTTCCAAATGTCTCTTTGCAGACACTCCAAAACTACTGTTTAAAACCTGCTGAATCAAAAGAAAGGTTTACCTCTGTGAGATGGATCTGCACATCACAAAGCAGTTTCATAGATAGATTCTTTCTAGTTTTTATATAGGAATATTTGTTTTTTCCTGTGATCCTCAAAGCGCTCCCAAATATCACCTCACATATCCTCCAAAAGAGTGTTTCCAACCTGCTTAATCAAAATACAGTTTTAACTTTGGAAGATGAATCCATACATCACAAAGTAATTTCACAGATAGCTTCTTTCTAATTTTATCTGGGGATATTTGGTTTTTCTCCATAGACCTCAATGGGCTCCCAAATGTCCTTTCACAGATTCCCCAAAAAGAGTGTTTTCAACCTTCTGAATGAAAAGAAAGTTTTAGCTGTTTATGATGAATCCACACATCACAAACTGTTTCTCAGAAAGCTTTTTTCTAACTTTTATTGGAGATATTCAGTTTTTCGCTGTAGATTTCAATGGGCTTCAAAGTGTCCCTTTGCAGATTCTCCAAAAAAGTGTTTCCAACCTGCTGAATGAAAAGAGAGGTTTTACTCTGTGCAATGAATCCACATATCACGAAGCAGTTTCACTAGATGGCTAGTTTCTATTTGTTTTCTGGGATATTTTGCTTATTTCCATAGGCCTCAGAATGTCCCTTCACAGATTCTCCAAAAAGAGTTTTTCCAAAACACTGAATCAAAAAAACAAGTTTATGTCTGTGAGATAAATCCACACATCACCAAGCAGTTTCAAAGAGCTTTTTGCTAGTTTTTATCTGGGGGTATTCAATTTTTCTCCATAGGCCTCGAAGGGCTCCCAAATGTCTCTTCGCAGATTCTCCAAAAAGAGTGCTTCCAATCTGCAGAATCAAAAGAAAAGTTCAAGTTTCTGATATGAATCCACACATCAAAAGCAGTTTCACAGATAATTTCTTTGTAGTTTTTAACTTGGAATACTCAGTTTTTCCCCTTAGGCCTTAATATGCTCCCAAATGTCTTTTTGCAGATTCTCTAAAAAGAGGTTTTCCAACCTGCTGAATCAAAAAAAAAAAAAAAAGGTTTAACTCTGTGAGATGTATCCACACATCTCAAAGCAATTTCAGAGACAGCTGCTTTCAAGTTTTTATCTGGAGATATTCAGTTTTACCTCAATGGGCTCAATGGGCTCCCAAATATCCCTTCACAGATTCTTAAAAAGGAAAATGTGTTTCCAAGCGGCTGAATCAATAGAAAGGCTTAACTCTGTAAGATGAATCCACACATAACAAAGCAGATTCACTGATAATTTCTTTCTATTTTTTTCTGGGGTATTCAGATTTTTCCCCCTAGGACTCAATGGGCTCCAAACAGTCCCTTCACATGATTTTTCAAAAAAAGTGTTTCCAGCCTTCTAAATCAAAAGAAAGTTTTAACTCTGTGAGATGAATCCACACATCAGAAAGCAGTTTCACAGATTGCTTCCTTCTAGTTTTTTCTTGGGATATTCGGTTTTGCCCCTTAGGCCTTAATGGTCTCCAAAAGGTCTTTTTGCACATTCTGCAAAAAAGGTTTCCCAGTCTGCTGAATCATAGAACAGTTTAACTCTGTGGAATGAATCCACACTTCACAAGCAGTTTAACCGATAAGTTCTTTCTAGTTTTTAACTGGGGATATTTGGTTTTGCCATATAAGCCCTAATGGGCCCCCAAATGTCCCTTCACATAGTCTCCAAAAAGCATGTTTCCAACCTGATTAATCAAAAGAAATGTTTAACTTTGTAAGGTGAATCCACTTATCACAAAGCATTTTGACAGTTAGCTTCTATCCAGTTTTTATGTAGGGACATTTTGTTTTTCCTCATAGCCCTCCAGGAGCTCTCAAATGTCCCTTTACAGATTGTGCAAAAAGAATGTTTCCAAACTCCTGAATCAAAAGAAATGCTTAAGTTCATGAGATGAATCCACACATCACAATGCAGTTTCAGAGATAGGTTCTTTCTAGTTCTTATCTGGGAATATTCTGTTTTTTTCCTTAGGCCTTCAGGGGTTCCCAAATGTTCCTAGGCAGATTCTTCAAAAAGTGTTTTCAACAAGCTGTGTCTGAAGAAAAGTTTAATTTTGTGAGATGAATCCACATATCACAAAGCAGTTTCAGAGCTAGGTTCTGTCTAGTTTTTATCTGGGTATATTCAGTTTTTCCCCATAGCCCACAATGGACTTCTAAATATCCCTTCACAGATTACCCAAAAAGAGTGTTTCCTACCAGCTAGATCAAAAGAAAAGTTTACACTGTTAAATGAATCCCTATCTCATAAAGCAGGGATAAATCTCTGCAAAATGGGTTCTTTCTAGTTTGTATCTGGAGATATTCGTTTTTCCCTGTAGACATCAATAGGCTCTGAAATATCCCTTCGCAGATTTTCCAAAGAGTGTTTCCATCCTGCTGAATCAAAAGAAAGGTTTAACACTGTGAGATGAATCCACAATTTAAAAAGCAGTTTCACAGACAGCTTCTTTCTAGTTTTTAGCTGGGAATATTCTGTTTTCCACTGTAGGCCTCAATGGGCTACAAAATGTCCCTGTGCAGATTATCCAATGAGAGTTTTTCCAACCTTCTGAATCAAAAGAAAGGTTTAACACTGTGAGATGAATCCACTCTTAACAAAGCAGTTTCACAGACACATTCTTTCTAGAATTTATCTAACGATATTTGTTTTTTTCCCATAGGCCTCAAGAGGTTCCCAAATGTCCCTTCACAGATTCCCCAATAAGTGTTTCTAACCTGCTGAATTGAAAGGTTTAACATTGTGATATGAATCTACACAACACAAAGCAGTTTCACAAGTAGCTTCTTTCTAGTTTTTATCTGGGGATATTTTGTTTTCCCCAAATGCTTCAAAAGGGCTCCAAAATATCTTTTTGCTGATTCTTTAAAAAGAGTGTCTCCAACCTGCTGAATCAAAAGAAAGGTTTAACTCTGTGAGATGAATCCACCCATAACAAAGCCATTTCACAGATAGCTTATTTCTAGTTTTTGTTTGGGGTTATTTTGTTTTTCCCCATAGGTCTCAATGGGTTCCCAAATGTCCCTTCACAGATTCTCCAATCAGAGGCTACCCAACCTGCTGTGTCAAAAGAAAGATTCAACTCAGTGAAATGAATTGACACCTTAAAAGCAGTTTCACAGATAACTTCTTTGAAGTTTTTATCAGGATATTCTATTTTTCCCATGGGCCTCAATGGACTTCCAAATGTCCTTTCCCAGATAATCCAAAAATGGTGCTTTCAGCGTGCTGAATCCAAAGAACTGTTTAACTCTGCGAGAAGAACCCACACATCGCAAAGCAGTGTCACAGGTAGCTCCTTTCTACTTATTATCTGGGGATGTTCACTTTTTCCACATAGGCGTCAATGTGTTCCCAAATGTCCCTTCACAGTTTCTACAAAAAAAGAGGTTCCAACCTCTTGAATCAAAATAAAGTTTTACCTATGTGAGATGAATCCACACATCACAAAGCAGTTTCACAGATAGCTTGTTTTTCAATTTAATCTGGGGATATTCAGTTTTTCCCTGTAGGTCACAGTCGGCTCCCAAATATCCTTTCCCACATTCTCCAAAGAGAATGTTTCCAACCAGCTGAATCAAAAATAGGTGTACCTCTGTGATTTGAATCCACACATAACAGAACAGTTTCACAGATAGATTGTTTTCAGTTTTTATCTGGGGATATTTTGTTTCTCCCCATAGACCTCAATGGGCTCCTAAACGTCCCTTCACAGATTCTCCTAAAATAGTGGCTCCAACCAGCTGAATCAAAGGAAATGTTTAACTCAGTAAGATGAATCCACACATCACAAAGTAGTTTCACAGAAAGCTTCTTTCTAGTTTTAATCTGGGAATATTCAGTTTTTCCCCATGGGCCACAATTGGCTCCCAAATATCCCTCTGCATATTCTCTAAAAGAGTTGTTTCAAAGAGCTGAATCAAAAGAAGGGTTCAACTCTGTGATATAAATCCACACATCACAAAGCAGTTTCACAGATAGCTTTTCTCTAATTTTTATCTGGGGATATTTTGTATTTCCTGATAGGCCTCAATGACTCCAAAATGCCCCCACACTGATTCTCCAAAAAGTGTGGTTCTAACCTGCTCAATCAAAATAAAGGTTTACCTCTGTGAGATGAATCCACACATTACAAAGCAGTTTCACAGATAGCTTCTTTCTAGATTTTATCCGGGGATATGAGGTTTTCCCCACAGTTCTCATTGGGCTCTCAAAAGGTCCTTCACAGGTTCTTTTAAAAAAGTTTCTGCAACCTGCTGAATCAAAACAATGATATAACTTGGTAAGATGAATCCACATATTACAATACAATTTCACTGATAGCTTCTTTCTAGTGTTTATCTGGAGATAGCCATTGTTTTTCCATAGGCCTCAATAAGCTCCCAAATGTTTCTTCACAAATTCCCCGAAAAGAGTTTCCAACCTGCTGAATCAAAAGAAAGTTTCAATCTGTGAGATGAATGCACACATCACAAAGCAGTCTCACAGACAGTTGCTTTCTAGTTTTTATCTGGGGATAGTCTGTTTTTTGTCCTCAGGTTCCAATGGGCTCTTTATTGTCCCTTTGCAGATTCTATGAAAAGAGTGTTTCAACCTTATGAATCAAAAAATTTTAAAGGTTTAAGTCTGTGAGATGAATCCACACATCACAAAGCAGTTTCACAGAGAGCTTCTTTCTAGTTTGTATCTGGGGATATTTTATTTTTCCCCATAGGCCTTAATGGGCTCTCAAATGTCCATTTGCAGATTCTTCAAAAAACTGTTTCTCACCTGTTGAATCTAAAGAAATGTTTAACTTTGTGAGATGTATCCAAACATTAGAAAGCAGTTTCAGAGAAAGCTTTTTTCTAGTTTTTATCTTGGGATATTTGATTTTTCCCATAGGCCTCTTTGACTGGCAAAGTGTCCTCTCATGATTTCTGCAAAATAGTGTTTCCAACCTGCTGAATCAAAGAACAAATTAAACTCTGTGTGATGAATCCACGCATTGCAAAGCATTTTCACAGATAGGTTCTTTCTGGTTTTTATCTTGGGATATTCAGTTTTTCCGCTAGGCGTGTCTGGGCTCCCAAATCTCCCTTCACAGTTTTTACAAAAAGAGGGTTTCCAATCTGCTGAATCCAGGGAAATATTTAGCTTTATGAGAGGAACCCCAACATCACAAAGGAGTTTCACAGATAGCTTATTTCTAGTTTTTATCTGAGTTTATTCACTTTTCCCTCAAAAGCCTTGATGGGCTCTCAAGTGCCCCTTTGATGATTCTACAAAGAGTATTTCTGGCCTACTGAATCAAAAGAAAGTTTTCACTCTATGAGATGAATCCACATATCACAGATCAGTTTCACTGATAATTTCATTCTCGTTTTTGTCTGGGGATATTCAGTTTTTCCCTTTGGGCCTCAATGGGCTCCCAATTGTCCCTTCTCAGATTCTCCAGAAAGAGTGTTTCCCAGCTGCTGGAGCAAAAGAAAGGTTAAACTGTGTGAGGTGCTCCACATATCACAAAACAGTATCAGAGATATCTTCTTTCTAGTTTTTATCTGGAGATATTTTGTTTTCCCCATAGGCCTCAATTGGCTCCCAAATGTCCCTTTGCAGATTCTACAAAAAGTGTGTTTCCAAGAAGCTGAATCAAAAGAAAGGTTTAACTCTGTGAGATTAATCCACACATCACAAAGCAGTTTCACAATTAACTTCCTTGTAGTTTTTATCTGGGGAAATTCGCTTTTTTTGCCATAGGTCTCAATGGTCTCCCAAATGTCCCTTCACAGATACTACAAAAAGAGTCATTACAACCTGCTGAATCAAAAGAAATGTTTAATTTTATGAGATGAATGCTCACATTATGAAGCAGTTTCACATACCATTTCTTTCTTTTTTTTCTTTGAAGATTACTTTTAATGAGCTAATAATTACATTGTTGCCCAGTGTCACATTTTCTATACACACACACACACACACAAATGCACACACACACAATCTTTGGAATGGAATTTTTTTAAGACAGAGATTACTGGTTCAAAGCAGAATGCACATGCTCTTGGATCTTCTAGAAAAATAGCATCTAAAAGTACAGTAAATCTCACCCTAGCACCTCTAATACAGTCAATCTTCTCAAAGGCTGCAGTTGGAAATATCACATTCAGGTGAATTCAAACTACCGACTGTTCTATTTCAATAATAATAATAACTAATTGTGTCTCACGCCTACACATTCCTAGACATAAGGAAATTGCTTTGGAAATGTGTTCACTGGGATTCTTTAGATTACAAGGGACAGAATCACAACTTAAGCTGACCAAGGCAAAGTAGACAATTCATTGGAAAAATAACAGAATCAAACAGAATTCTGGACAGGCAAACCACAGGGAAGAAGTAGATAAAATTAAGTGTCAACAAAATTCAGGGACCTTACTCCCAATAGCCCTCTATATCTCTTGTCTATGCTTTTTTTGGTATATTGTCTTTACTCTCTCTCATTGCAGAACAGCTACCTCAACATTGTAAAAAAATAAAATAAAATTGTAGGAGCTGACAGCTCTCTAGTATCCCATCTAATAATTCCCAGAACAAGAAAAGGGAAAATTCTCGTTTTGATACAATTTGAAAATAAATGCCCTAGAAAGGGCTCTGTTGTTTAGCAAAGTTTGGGTTGGATGACCATCCCTGTACCAATCAATGTAACCAGTGGTTAAAGGATGGAGTCAAACCTTCTAATAATAGGTCTTTGTGCAAACATACAGTTTGAATGGCAGAAGAAACAAATCCCTCAGGAGGCTGGCTATTTAGATAAACCAACAGGTATTCCAAGAAGGGTGAGGTGATTTGTTCCCAAGATACAGAGTAAAAATGGCAGGTAAGAAGCTAGAATCTAAGGCTTTTTCTTCCAAAGCAAATGAATTCTTTTCTACTTCATGCAATTATTACCATCCAAAGAATCACTTCACCATTTTACGAGGTTAATCTCACCAAATTATCCTTCACATAGTAACCTTATCTGCACCTCCATGCCATCATCGATTTGGTCTTCTATACCTCTAGGCTTTCCTCTACCTCCTACTTATTCTTCTTGGTCCATGGGTCTGTTTTTTTATTATACTTTAAGTTTTAGGGTACATGTGCACATTGTGCAGGTTAGTCACATATGTATACATGTGCCATGCTGGTGCGCTGCACCCACTAACTCGTCATCTAGCATTAGGTATATCTCCCAATTCTATCCCTCCCCCTCCCCCCACCCCACAACAGTCCCCAGAGTGTGATATTCCCCTTCCTGTGTCCATGTGATCTCATTGTTCAATTCTCACCTATGAGTGAGAATATGCGGTGTTTGGTTTTTTGTTCTTGCGATAGTTTACTGAGAATGATGATTTCTAATTTCATCCATGTCCCTACAAAGGTTGAATAATGCCGCAATAAACATAAGTGTGCATTTGTCTTTATAGCAGCATGATTTATAGTCCTTTGGGTATATACCCAGTAATAGGATGGCTGGGTCAAATGGTATTTCTAGTTCTAGATCCCTGAGGAATCGCCACACTGACTTCCACAATGGTTGAACTACTTTACCGTCCCACCAACAGTGTAAAAGTGTTCCTGTTTCTCCACATCCTCTCCAGCACCGGTTGTTTCCTGACTTTTTAATGATTGCCATTCTAACTGGTGTGAGATGGTATCTCATTGTGGTTTTGATTTGCATTTCTCTGATGGCCAGTGATGATGAGCATTTTTTCATGTGTTTTTTGGCTGCATAAATGTCTTCTTTTGAGAAGTGTCTGTTCATGTCCTTCGCCCACTTTTTGATGGGGTTGTTTGTTTTTTCTTGAAAATTTGCTTGAGTTCATTGTAGATTCTGGATATTAGCCCTTTGTCAGATGAGTAGGTTGTGAAAATTTTCTCCCATTTTGTAGGTTGCCTGTTCACTCTGATGGTAGTTTCTTTTGCTGTGCAGAAGCTCTTTAGTTTAATTAGATCCCATTTGTCAATTTTGTCTTTTGTTGCCATTGCTTTTGGTGTTTTAGACATGAAGTCGTTGCCCATGCCTATGTCCTGAATGGTAATGCCTAGGTTTTCTTCTAGGATTTTTATGGTTTTAGGTCAAACGTTTAAGTCTTTAATCCATGTTGAATTGAATTTTGTATAAGGTGTAAGGAAGGGATCCACTTTCAGCTTTCAGGAAATAAAAGAGGATACAAACAGATGGAAGAACATTCCATGCTCATGAGTAGGAAGAATCAATATCGTGAAAATGGCCATACTGCCCAAGGTAATTTACAGTTTCAATGCCATCCCCATCAAGCTACCAATGCCTTTCTTCACAGGATTGGAAAAACTAAAGTTCATATGGAACTAAAAAAGAGCCCGCATCGCCAAGTCAATCCTGAGCCAAAAGAACAAAGCTGGAGGCATCACACTACCTGACTTCAAACTATACTACAAGGCTACAGTTACCAAAACAGCATGGTACTGGTACTAAAACAGAGATATAGATCAATGGAACAGAACAGAGCCCTCAGAAATAACACTGCATATCTACAACTGTCTGATCTTTGACAAACCTGAGAAAAAGAAGCAATGGGGAAACGATTCCCTATTTAATAAATGGTGCTGGGAAAACTGGCTAGCCGTATGTAGAAAACAGACCGTTTCTTTCTAGCTTTTATCTGGGGATATTCTGTTTTCCCCATAGGCCTCAAGAGGTTCCTAAACATCCCTTCACAGATTCTACAAAAATAATGCTCCAAAACTGCTGAATCAAAGGGAAGATTTAGCTTTATGAGATGAATTTTCACATCTCAGGGAGTTTCAAAGATAGCTTCATTCTAGTTTTTACCTGGGAATATTCAGGTTTTCCCATTAGGCCTCAATTGACACCCAAATTAGCCTTCTCAGATTCCACAGAAAGAGTGTATCCAAACTGGTGAATCAAAAGAAAGGTTTCTCTCTGCGAGAGGAATCCACACATTGCAAAGAAGTTTCATAGATACCAACTTTCTAGTTTTTATTTGGGGATATTCGTTTTTTCCCCACAGGCCTCAATGGGCTCCCAAGTGTCCCTTTGCAGATTATCCAAAAAGACTGTTTCCAACCTGCTGAATCATAAGAAAGTTTTGTCTTTCATATGAATCCACATGTCACAAAGTACTTTCACAGATAGCACAGATAGCTTGTTTTTAGTTTTTGTCTGGGGATATTCATTTTTTTCTCATAGGCTACAAAAAGCTCCCAAATGTCCCTTTGCAGATTCTCCAAATAAAGTGTTTCCAACATGGTGAATCAAAAGAATTTTTTAAATCTGTGAAAGGAATCCACACATCACAAAGCAGCTTCACAGATAGCTTCTTTCTAGTTTTATCTGGGGATATTCTGTTTTTTTCCATAGGCATTAATGGGTTTTCAAATGTCTCTTCACAGATTCTCCAAAAACAGTGTTTCCAACCTGCTGAATCAAAAGAATACTTAAACTCTGTCAGATGAGTTCACACAACACAAAGCAGTTTCACAAATAGCTTCTTTCTAGCTTGTATCTGGAAATATTCGCTGTTGGGAACAAGCCACCCAAAATCTGGCCATAAACTGGCTCCCAAATTGGCCATAAACAGTCTCTGCAGCACTGTGACAGGTTCATGAGGGCCGTAATGCCCACGCTGGAAGGCTATGTGTTTACAGGAACGATGGAAAGGAACACCAGGCCTGCCCAGGGCAGAAAACCGCTTAAAGGTATTCTTAAGCCACAAACAATAGCATGAGTGATCTGTGCCTTAAGGACATGCTCCTGCTGCAATTAACTAGCCCAACCCATTCCTTTAATTCAGCCCATCCCTTCATTTCCCATAAAGGATACTTTTAGTTAATTTAATATCTATAGAAACAGTGCTAATATCTGGCTTGCTGTTAATAAACACTTGGGTAAATCTCTGTTCAGGGCTTTCAACTCTGAAGGCAGTGAGATCCCTGATTTCCCATTTCACACCTCTATATTTCTGTGTGCCTGTCTTTAATTACTTTAGTGCCTCTGGGTTAGGGTCTCCCCAACAGAGCTGGTCTCAGCAATTCACTTTCTCCCTATAGGCCTCAGAGGACTCTGAAATGTCCCTTCACAGATTCTCCAAAAAGTATTTTCAACATGCAGAAACATAAGAAAGATTTACCATTGTCATTTGAATCCACACATAACAAAGAAGTTTCACACATAGCTTCTTTGTAGTTTTTATTTGGGGATATTTTGTTTTTCCCTATAGGCCTCAAAGGGATCCAAATGTCCCTTTACAGATTCTACAAAAAAAGTGTTTCCAACCTGCTGGATAAGAAGAAAAATTTAACTCAGTGAGATGAATCCACACATCACACAAAAGTTTCAGTAGGCCTCAATGGGCTCCCAAATGTCCCTTTGCTGATTCTCCAAGAAGAGTGTTTTCAACCTGCTGAATCAAAAGAAAACTTAAATTCTGTCAGGTGAGTTCACAAACCACAAAGCCATTTCACAGATAGCTTCTTTCTAGTTTTTATTTGGAAATGTTTGGTTTCTCCCTATAGGCCTCAAAGGAATCCCAAATGTCCCTTTGCAGATTCTCCAAAAGGAGTATTTCCAACCTGTGGAATCATAAGAAAGATTTAATATTGCCAGTTGAATCCACACGTCAAAAAGAAGTTTCACACATAGCTTCTTTGTAGCTTTTATCTTGGATATTCGATTTTTCCCTATAGGCCTCAAAGGGATCCAAATATCCCCTTGCAGATTCTACAAAATAGGTTTTTCCAACCTGCTGAACAAGAAGAAAAAGTTATCTCTGTGAGATTAATCCACACATCTCAAAGCAGTTTCAGTAGGCTCCAATGGGCTCCCAATGTCCCTTTGCAGATTCTACAAAAAGACTGTTTCCAACCTGCTGAATCAAAAGAAAGTTTTAACACTATGAAATGAATCCACGCATCACAAAGCTGTTTCACAGATAGCTTCTTTCTAGTTTTTATCTGGGAATATTCCATTTTTTTGCATAGGCCTCAATGGGCTTTCAAATGTCCCTTCGCAGATTCTCCAAAAAGAGTGTTTGCAACTTGCTGAATGAAAAGAAAACTTAAACTCTGTCACATGAGTTCACACAACACAAAGCAGTTTTACAGATAGCTTCTTTCTAGTTTTTTTCTGGAAATATTCGGTTTCTCCCTATAGGCCTCAAACGACTCCCAAATGTCCCTTCGCAGATTCTCCAAAAAAAGTATTTCCAACCTGTGGAATCATAAGAAAGATTTAACATTGTCAGTTGAATCCACAAATCACAAAGAAGTTTCATACATACCTTCTTTGTAGTTTTTATCTGGTGATATTCAGTTTTTCCCCATACACCCCAAAGTGCTCCTGAATGTCCCATTTCATATTCTCCAAAAAGAATGTTTTCCACCCACTGAATCCAAAGAAAGAATTAACTCTGTAAGATGAATCCACACATCAAAATGCAGTTTCACAGATAGCTTCCTTCTAGTTTTTATCTGGGGATATTCCGTTTTTACCCCAGGCATAAATGGGCTCACAAATGTCCCTTCACAGATTCTACAAAAAGGATGTTTCCAACCTACTGAATAAAAAAAAAATTTACTGCTGTAAGTTAAATCCACACATTACAAGCAGTTTCACAGGTAGCTTCTCTCCAGTTTTATCTAAGGATATTCAATTTTTCCACATAGGCCTCATTGGACATTCAAGTGTCCCTTCGCAGATTCTGCAAAAAGAGTGTTTCCAACATGCTGAGTCAAAACAAAGGTTTAACTCTGTGAGATGAATCCATATATCACAAAGTAGTTTCACATATAGCTTCATTCTAGTTTTTATCTGGGGATATTCAGTTTTTCCAATTAGGCTTCAATTGGGTCCCAAATTTCTTTTCACAGATACTAAACAAAGGCTGTTTCCAAACTGTTGAAACAAAAGAAAGTTTTTTTCTCTGTGAGAAGAATCCACACATCACAAAGCAGTTTCATAGAGAGCTTCTATCTAATTTTCAATTGGGGATATTTGGTTTTTCCCCAGTGGCCTCAATGGGCTCCCAAATGCTCCCTCACAGATTCTCCAAAAAGAGTGTTTCCATCCTACTGAATCAAAAGAAATATTTAAAATTGTGAGATGAATCCACACATCACAAAAATTTCGCAGATAGCTTCTTTCTAGTTTTTATCTGGGGATATTTGATATTTCCCCATAGGACCCAATGGGTGCTGAAATGTCCCTTCACAGATTCTATGATAAAAGTCTTCCCAAGCTGCTGAATCAAAAGAAAAGTTTAAGTCTCTGAGATGAGTCCACACATCACAAAGCAGTTTCCCAGACACCTTTTTTCTAGTTTTTATTGGGGGATATTCAGTTTTTCTTTAGTAGCCTCAATGAACTCCCAAATGTCTTTTCCAGATACTTCAAAAAGACTGTTTCCACCTGCTGAATCAAAAGAAAGGCTGAACTTTGTGAGATGAAATCAAACATCAGAAAGAAGTTTCACAGAAAGCTTCTTTGTAGTTTTTATCTTGGGATATTCTGTTTTTCCCCATAGGCCCTAATGGGTTTCCAAATATCCCTTTGCAGGTTCTCCAAAAAGTGTGTTTCCAACGTGCCAAATCTAAGGAAAGGTTTAACTCTGTGAGATGAATCCACACATCACAAAGCAGTTTCACAGATAGTTTCTTTGGATTTTCTGTCTGCTGATATACTGTTTTTCCCCTTAGGCCCCAAGGGGTTCTTAAATGTCCCTTCACAGATTCTCCAAAAAGAGTGAGTCCAACGTGCTGAATCAAAAGAAAGGTTTAACTCTGTGAGATGATTTCAGACATCACAAAGTAGTTTCACAGGTAGATTATTTCTAGTTTTTATCGGGATATTCAGTTTTTCCCATTAGTCTTCAATTTGCTTCCAAATTTCAATTCACAGAATCTACAGAAAAAAGTGGTTCCAAACTGCTGAATTAAAAGAAAGGTTTTTTTTCTCTGTGAGAAGAATCCACACATCACAAAGTAGTTTCATAGATAGCTGCATTGTAGTTTCTATTTGGGGATATCCGGTTTTTCCCCATAGGTCTACATGGGCTCCCAATTGTCCCATCGAAGATTCTCCAAAAAGAGTGTTTCCACCATGCTGAACCAAAAGAAATGTTTAACTTTGTGAGATGAATCCCCACATCACAAAGCTGTTTTACAGATAACTCCTTTTATGTTTTTATCTGGTAATATTCTGTTTTTACCCATAGGCCTACAAAGGCCCCAAAATGTCCCTTCACAGATACTACAAAATGAGTGTTTCCAGACTGCTGAATAAGAAGAAACATTTAACTCTCTAAGATGAATCCACACATCACAAAGCATTTTTGCAAATAGCTTGTTTCTAGTTTTTATCTAGGGATGTTCTGTTTTTACCCTGAGTCTCAATGGGCCCCCAAGTGTCACTTCACAGATTCTCCAAAAACAGTGTTTCCATCCTGCTTAAACAAAAGACAGTTTTAACACTGTGAGATGAAACCACACATCTCAAAGCCGTTTCACAGATAAATTCTTTCAAGTTTTTATCTGGGGATACTCTGTTTTTCACCAGAGGCCTCAGTGGGCTCACAAATGTCAGTTTTCAGATTCTCCAATTAGAGTGTTTCCAACCTACTGAATCAAAACAAAGGTTTAACTCTGTGAGCTGAATCCACACTTCACAAGGCAGTTTCACAGAGAGTTTCTTTCTAGTTTTTATCTGGGGATATTTGGTGCTTCTTAACAGGCCTCCATGGGCTTCCAAATGTACCTTTGCAGATTCTACAAAAGGAGGGCTTCCAACGTGCGAATAAGAAGAAAAATTTAACTCTGTGAGATAAATCAACATATTACAAAGCAGTTTCACAGATAGCTTCTTTCTAGTTTTTATCTGGGGATATTCGCTTTTTCACTAGAGGCCTCAATGAGCTCCCAAAAGTCCCTTTGCTGATTCTACAAAAAAATTGTTTCAAACCTGCAGCATCAAAATGATTGTTTAGCACTGTGAGATTAATCCACCCATCACAAAGCCATTTCACAAATAATAGCTTCTTTTTAGTTTTTATCTTGGTATATTCAGTTTTTCCTCATAGACCTCAATGGGTTATCATTTGTCCCTTTGCAGATTAACCAAAAGAGTGTTTCCAACCGCCTGAATCAAAAGAAAGTTTTAACTCTGTGGGTTAAATCCACACATCACAAAGTAGTATGACACAGAGCTTCTTCCTAGTTTTTATCAGGATATTCTGTTTTCCCCATAGGCCTCAATGGGCTCCCAAATGTCCCATCGCATATTTTCCAGGAAGTGCATTTACAGTCTGCTGAATCAAAAGAAAGATATAATGCTATGGGATGAATCCACACATCAGAAAGCAGATATCTTCTCTCTAGATTTTATCTGGAGATATTCTGTTTTCCTTCACAGGCCTAAATGGGCTTTCAAATGTCCCATCACATATTTTCCAAAAAGAGTATTTCCAACCTGCAGAATCATAAGAAAATTTTAACTCCATGAGATGAATACACATCACAAAGCAGTTTCAGATAGCTTCTTTCGTTTTTCTATCTGGTGATATTCTATTTTTCTTTGTAGGCCACAATGGGCTCTGAAATGTGTCTTCACAGTTTCTCAAAAAGAGTGTTTTAATCCTGCTGAATCAAAAGAAAGGTTTAACACTGTGAGACGAATCCACCTATCACAAAGCTGTTTCACTAATAGCTTCTTTGTGGTTGTTATGTGGTGATATTCGATTTTCCCCATAGGCCTTAAGGAACTCCAAAATGTCCCTTCACAGATTCTACAAAAAGAGTGTTTGCAACCCTCTGAACAAGAAGAAAACATTAACTCGTGAGATGCATCCACACATCACAATACTGTTTCACAGATACCTTGTTTTTAATTTTTATCTCTGATATTCAGTTTTTCCCCATAGGCTACAATGAACTCCAAAATGTCCCTTCACAGATGCTCCAAAAGAATGCTTCCAACTTGCTGAATCAAAATGAAATTTTAAATCTGTGAATTGAATACACACATCACAAAGCCATTTCAGCCAGCATTTTTGTTCTCTTTTATCTGGGGATATTTGGTTTTTATTCCAAGGACCTCAGTGGGCTTCCAAATGTCCCTTTGCAGATTCTCCAAAAAGAGTGTTTCCAACATGCTGAATCAAAAGAAAAATTTAACTCTGTGAGATGAATCTACATATCACAAAGCATTTCACATAAAAATTCTTTGTAGTTTTTATCTGGGGATATTCAATTTATTTTCATAAGTTTCAAAAAACTTCCAAAAGTCCCATCACAGATTCTCCAAAAAGAGTTTTACCAAACTGTGGAATCATAAGAAAGGTTTAGCTCTGTAATCTGAATCCATGCATCACAAAGAAGTTTCACAGGTAGCTTATTTGTGTTTTTTTATCCAGGGATATCCTTTTTTTCCTGATAGGTCTCAAATGGCTCCCAAATGTGCCTTCATAGATTCTACAAAGAGAGTGTTTCCATCCTGCTGAATAAAACCTTCTTTCAATGTTTTATCTGGGAATATTCTGCTTTTTCATGTATGCCACAATGTGCTTGCTAATTTCTCTTTGAAGATTCTCCAAAAAAAAAGTGTTTCCAACCTGCAGAATCAAAAGAAAGTTTTAATGCTGTGAAATTAATCCACACATCACAAAGCTGTGTCACACATGGCTTCTTTCTAGTTTTTATCTGGGAATATTTGATTTTCCCCAATGTCCTCAAAGGGTTACAATGTATTCCTTCACAGATTCCCCAAAAGAGTGTTTCCAACTTGCTGAATCAAAAGGAAGGTTTAACTGTCTGAGATAAATCCACACATCACAAAGTAGTTTCAGAGATAGCATCTTTATAGTTTTGATCTGGGAATATTCTGTTTTTCCCCAAAGGCCTCAATGGGCTCCCAAATATACCATCACATATTTTCCAAGAAGAGGGTTTCCAACCTGCTGAATCAAAGGAAAGGTTTAACTCTATGAGATGAATCCACACATCACAAAGCAGTTTCACAGATAGCTTCATTTGAGTATTTATCTGGAGATATTTAGAGTTTCCCATAAGCCTCAAGGGGCTCTCAAATGTCCCATCACATGCTTTCCAAAAATGGTGTTTCCAACCTGTGGAATCAAAAGAAAGTTTTAATTCTGTGAAATAAATCCACACATCACAAAGCAGTTTCACAGATAGCTTCTTTCTAGTTTTTATCTGGGGATATTCGGTTTTTCCCACAGGCCTCAAAGGGCTCCCAAATGTCCCTTTCCAGATTTTCCAAAAACAGTGTTTCCAACCTGCTGAATAAGAAGAAAATCTCAACTTTCTGAGATGAATCCACACATCACACAGCAGTTTCATGGATAGCTTTTTGTTTGTTTTTAACTGAGGATATTTGATTTTTCCCCATAAGTCTAAATAGGCTCCTATATGTCCCTTTGCTGATTCTCCAATTAGAGTGCTCCCAACCTGCTGAATCAGAATAAAGGATTAAGTTTGTGAGATGAGTTGAAACCTCATAAAGCAGTTTCATGGATATCTCTTTTCCAGTTTTTTATCTGGAAATATTCAATTTTTCCCCTTAGTTTTCAATGGGTTCCCAAATGTCCTTTCACAGAATCTCCAAAAAGAGTGTTTCTAACTTGCTGAATCAAAAGAACAGTTTAACTCTGTGAGATGAAGCTGCATGCCACAAATCGTTTCACAGATAGCTTCTTTGTAGTTTTCATCTGAGGATATTGTGAGGATATTCTGAGGGAGCCTAAATGGGCTCCTAATGTCACTTTGTTGATTCTCCAAAAAGAGTTTTTCCAACCTGCTAAATAAAAAAAAATGTTTAACTCTGTGAGATGAATCCACACATCACAAAGCAGTTTCAGATATAGCTTCTGTCTGGTTTTTATCTGGGAATATTTATTTTTTCCCCATAGGCCTCAATGTGCTCCCAAATGTCCCTTTGCAGATTCTCAAAAAAGAGTGTTTCCAACCTTTTGAATCAAAAAAAGCTTTTGCTCTGTGAGATGAATCCACATATCACAAAACAGTTTCACAGAGAGCTTCTTCCTAGCTTTATCTGGGGATATTAACTTATTTTCCATAGGCCTCCATGGGCTCCCAAATGTCCCATTGCAGATTCTCCAAAAAAGAGTATTTACAACCTGCTGGATCACAAGAGTTGTTTAACTCTTTGAGATGGATCCACACAACACAAAGCTTTTTCACAGATAGCTTTTTTCTAGTTTTCATGTGGGGATATTTTGTTTTTACATATAAGCCTCAATGGACACCATAATGTCCCTTCACAGAGTCTGAAAAAAGAGTGTTCCCAACCTGGTGGATCAAAATAAACGTTTCACTCTGTGAGATGAATTGACATATCACAAAGGAGTTTCACAGATAGCTTCTTTCTAGTTTTTATCTGGGGATATTCAGTTTTTCCCCATAGGCCTCAATGGGCTCCCTAATTTCCCTTTACAGATCATCCAAAAAGAGTGTTTCCAACCTGCTGAATGAAAATAAAGTTTTAACTATGTGACCTGAATCCACACATCACAAAGTTGTTTCACAGATAGCTTCTTTCATAACCCTCAATGGGCTCCCAAATGTCCTTTCAAAGATTCTAGAAAAACAGCGTTTTCAACCTCATGAATAAAAAAAAGGTTTGACTCTGTGAGATGAATCCACACATCACAAAGCAGTTTCACAGACAACTTCTTTCTAGTTTTTATTTGAGGATATTTGGTTTTTCCCCATAGGCTGCAACAGGCTCCAAAATGTCATTTAGAAAATTCTTCAGTTAGACCATTTACAACCTGCTGAATCAAAAGAAAGGTTTAACTCTGTGAGATGAATCCACACATCACAAGGCAGTTTCACAGATAGTTTTTCTGGTTTTTATCTGGGGATATGCAGTTTTTCCCCATAGGCATCAATGGGCTTCCTAATGTGCCTTCACAGATTCTCCAAAAAAAGTGATTCCAACCTGCTGAGTCAAAACAAACGTTTAACTATGTGAGATGAACCCAAATATGACAAAGCAATTTTACAGAGAGATTCTTCCTAGTTTTTATCTTGGGATATTTCGTTTTTTCTCATAGGCCTCAAGGGGCTTCCCAAAGTCTTTTCACTGATTCTCCAATTAGAGTGTTTCCAAACTGCTTAGTCAAAAGAAAAGTTTAAATCTGTGAGATGAATTGACTCATCACAAAGCACTTACACAGATAGCTTCTTTCTAATTGTTATCTGGGTATATTCAGTTTTCCACATAGGCTTCAATGGGCTCCCAAGTGTCCTTTCACGTATTCTCCAAAACGAGTGTCTCCAAACAGCTGAATCCAAAGAAAGGTTTAACTCTGTGACATAAATCCACATATCACATAGCAGATTCACAGATAGATTATTTTTAATTTTTATCTGGGTGTATTCTTTTTTTCTGATAGACCTCGAGGGGCTCCCAAATGTCCCTTTGCAGATTCTACAAAAAGTGCATTTCCAATCTGCTTAATCAAGAGAATTGTTAAACTGCATGAGATGAAGCCATACATCACAAAGCAGTTTCACAGATAACTTCTTTCTAGTTTTTATCTGGGGATATTCAGTTTGTCACCATAGGCCTCAATGCACTCCAAAATGTCCTTTTGCAGATGCTAAAAAAGGACTGTTTCCAACCTGCTGAATGAAAAAGAACGTTTAGTTCTGTAAGAAGAATCCACACATTGCAAAGCGGTTTCACAGAGAGCCTCTCTCTAGTTTTTATCTTTGGATACTTGCTTTTTCACCATAGGCCAAAAAGAGCTCCCAAATGTTTCCTCACAGATTCTACAAAAAGAGTGTTTTGAAACTACTTAACCAAGAGGAAGTTTTAACTCTCTGAGATGAATCCACACGTCATAAAGCAGGTTAGCTTGTGGCTTATTTCTAGTTTTTATCTGGGGATATTGGCTTTTTCTCTATAGGCCTCGATGCGCTCACTAATGTCAATTTGCAGATTCTACAAAAAAAGTGTTTGCAAACTACTGAATCAACAGAAAAGCTTAACTCTGTGAGATGAATCCACACATCACAAAGCAGTTTCACAGATAGCTTCTTTTTAGTTTTTATCTTGCGATACTGGCTTTTTCACCATAAGCCTCTATGAGCCCCCAAATATCTCTTTGCAGATTCTACTCAAACAGTGTTTAAAAACTGCTGAATCAAAAAAATGGTTTATCTCTCTGAATTGAATCCACACATCACAAAGGGGTTTCACAGATATCTTCTTTCTAGTTTTTATATGGGGATATTTAGTTTGTCACCATAGGCCTCAGTGAGCTCCCAAATACCCCTTTGCAGATTCTACAAAAACAGTGTTTCCAAATTGCTGTATCAAAAGAAAGGTTTAACTCTGAGAGATGAATCCACACATCACAAAGCAGTTTCACAGATAACTTCTTTCTACTTTTTATTTGGAGTTATTTGGTTTATCACTGTAGCCCTCAATGTACTCCCTAATGTCCTTTTGCAGATACTAAAAAAGGACTGTTTCCAACCTGCTGAATTAAAAGAAAGGTTCCAGTCTGTGAGAAGAATCCACACATCTCTAAACAGTTTCACAGCTAACTTCTTTCTAGTTTTTATTTGGGGATATTCTCTTTTTCACCTTAGGCCTCAACAAGTTGCCAAATGTCTTTTCATGGATTCTAGAAAAGCAATGTTTCCAACCCGCTGATTCAGAAGAAAGTTTTACTTCTGTGAGATGAATCCACACGTCATGGAATAGTTTCACAGATGGCTTCTTTCTACTTTTCATCTTTGGATATTCAGTTTGTCACCATAGGCGTCAATGCACTATCAAATGTCCCTTTGTGGATTCTACAAAAGGACTGATCCCAACCTGCTGAATCAATAGAAAGGTTTACCTCTGTGAAATGAATCCACACATCACAAAGCAGTATGAGAGATTCTACAAAAGGGCTATTTCCATTCTGCTAAATCAAAAGAAAGGTTTAAATCTTTGAGACGAATCCACACATCACAGAGCAGCTTCACAGATAGCTTCTTTCTAGTTTTTATCTGGGGATATTCGGTTTGTCACCATAGCCCACAATGCACTCCCAAATGCTTCTTGGCAGATCCTACAAAAGGACTGTTTTTAACCTGCTGAATCAAAAGAAAGTATTAACTCTGTGAGACTAACGCACACACCATAAAACAGTTTCTCAGATGGCTTATTTCTAGTTTTTATCTTCTTCAAATAGAGTATTTCCAAACTGCTGAATCAAAAGAAAGGTTTAACACTATGATATGCATCCACACATCACAAGGCAGTTTCACACAGAGCTTCCTTCTAGTTTTTATCTGGGTATATTTGCTTTTTCACCCTAGGCCTCAATGAGCTCCAAATTGTCCCTTCACAGATTCTATAACAACATTGTTTCCAAACCAAGGAATCAAAAGCAAGATTTCTTTCTGTGAAATGAATCCATACACACAAAGCGTGTCACAAACAGCTTCTTTCTAGTTTTTATGTGGGGATATTTGGTTTGTTACACCAGGCCTCAATGGCTCTGAAATGTCTCTTCTAAGATTCTACAAAAAGTCTGTTTCCAACCTGCTTAATCAAAACAAAGTTTTAACTCTGAGAAGAATCCACACATCACAAAGCAGTTTCACAAAGAAATTCTTTTTATTTTTTATCTGGAGATAATCACATTTTCAACATAGGCCTAAATGCATCTCAAAATATCCCTACAGAGATTTTTCAAAAAGAGTGTTTCCAAACTGCTGCATCAAAACAAAGTTTTAACACTCTGAGTTGAATCCACTCATCACAAAGTAGTTTCACAGTTAGCATCATTCTAGTTTTTATCTGGGGATATGCAGTTTATCACCACAGGTCAGAATGCACTCCCAATTTTCCTTTCACAGATTCTGCAAAAGGACTGTTTCTATCGTGCTGAATAAAAAAAAGTTTATTTCTGTGAGAAGAATGCACATATCACAAAGAAGTTTCACAGATAACTTCTTTCTACTTTTTACCTGGGGATATTCACAGTTTCACTATAGGCCTCAATGTGCTCCTAAATTTCCCTTCACAGACTCTATACAAACAGTGTGTCCAAACTGCTGAATCAAAAGAAAAGTTTAATTCTGTGAGTTGAATCCAAACATCACACAGCAGTTTCAGAGATAGCTTCCTTCCAGTTTTTGTCTGGATGTATTTTCTTTTACACCATAGGCCTCAATAAGCTCCCAAATGTCCCTTCGTGGATTCTATGCAAACAGTGTTTTCAAACTGCTAAAGGAAAAGAAAGTTTTAACTCTCTGAGTTGAATTCAAACATGACAAAGCAGTTTCACAGATAGCTTCTTTTTAGTTTTTATCTCAGTATATTCTGTTTGCCACCATAGGCCTCAATGTGCTCCCAAATGTCACATCACAGATTCTACAAAAAGACTATTTTTAACCTGCTGAATCAAAAGAAAGTTTTAACCCTGTGAGAAGAATCCACAGATCACAAAGCAGTTTCACAGATAACTTCTTTCTAGTTTTTATCTGGAGTTATTTGCTTCTTCACTAAAGGCCTCAATGAGCTCCAAAACATCCCTTCACAGTTTCTACAATAACAGTGTTCCAAACTGCTGAATGAAAAGAGAAGTTTAACTTCCTGAGGTAAATCCACACATCACAAAGCAGTTTCACAGACAGCGTCTTTCTAGTTTTTATCTGGGGATATTCTATTTATCAACATAGGCCAGAATGCAGACTCAATTATCCCTTTGTAGATTCTACAAAAACAGTGTTTCCAAACTGCTGAATCAAAAAAAAAAGTTTAACCCTGTGAGATAAATCCACACTTCCCAAAGCAGTTTCACAGATAGCTTATTTCTAGTTTTTATCTGGGGATATTTGGTTTTACAACATAGGTGTCAATGAGCTCCCAAATGTCCCTTCGCAGACTCAACCACAACAGTGTTTCAAAACTGCTGAATGAAAAAAAAAGGCTTAATTCTGTGAGATGAATTTACACATCACAAAGCAATTTAACAGATAGCTTCTTTCCAGTTTTATCTGGGGATGTTCTCTTCCACACCACAGGTCTGAATGCACTCTAAATGTCTCTTCCCAGAATCTACAAAAGGACTGTTTCCAACCTGCTGAATCAAAAGAAAGGCTTAACTCTGTGAGATGAATCCATCTGTCACAAAGCAGTTTCACAAATAGCTTCTTTCTAGTTTTTATATGGAGATATTTGCTTTTTCACAATAGGCCTCAATGCACTACGAAATCTCCCTTTGCAGATTCTTGAAAAAGACTGTTTCCAACCTACCGAATCAAAAAAAAGTTTAACTCTGTGAGATAAATCCAGACATCATAAAGCAGTTTCACAGGTAGCTTCTTTCTAGTTTTTATCTGGGGATATTCAGTTTGTCACAATAGACCTCAACACACTCCAAAAATGTCCCTTCATAGATTCCCCAATAACACTTTTTCCAAACTGTTGAATCAAAAGAAAGGTTTAACTCTCTGAGATAAATCCACACATCACAAAGCAGCTTCACAGAAACTTCTTTCTAGTTTTTATCTTGAGATATCCAGTTTGTCAGTATAGTCCTCAATGCTCCCCAAAATAACCCTTCACAGATACTACAAAAGGACTGTTTCCAACATGCTGAATCAAAATGAAGTTTTAACTCTCTGAGATGAATCACACATAACAAAGCAGCTTAACAGATAGCTTCTTTCTAGTTTTCATCTGGGGATATTCATTTTTTCACCATAGGTCTCAATGAGTTCCAAAATGTCCCTCACAGAATCTACAGAAACAGTGTTTACAACATCCTAATCAAAAGAAAGGCTTAATTCTGTGAGATAAATCCACACATGACAAAGCATTTTCACAGTTAGCTTCTTCCTATTTTTTATCGGGGGATATTGGCTTTTTCACCACAGGCCACTATTCTCTCTGAGATGTCCTTTTGCACATTCTACAAAAATAGTGTTTCCAAACTGGTGATTCAAAATCGAGGTTTAAATCTGTGAGACAAATCCACACATCAAAAAGCAGTTTCACTGATAGCTTCTTTCTGTGTTTATCTGGGGATAATTGCCTTTTCACCACGGGCATCAATGAGTTCCCAAATGTCCCTTCACAGATCCTACAAAACAGTGTTTCCAAATAGCTGAATCGAAAGAAAGATTTAACTCTGTGAGATGAATACAAACATCACAAAGCAGTCTCACAGAGAGCTTCTGTCTAGTTTTTAACTGTGAATATTACCTTCTTTACCATAGGCCTCATGAGCTCCCAAATGTCCCTTCACAGATTCTGCAAAAAAAAAAAAAAATGTTTCCAAAGTGCAGAACAGAAAAGTTTACCTCTGTGAGATGAATCCACACATCAGAAAGCAGTTTCACAGGTAGCTTCTTTTTAGTTTTTATCTGGGGATATTCGGTTTTTTCACCATAGTCCTCAATGCACTCCCAAATATCCATTCACAGATTCAACAGAAAGTGTTTCCAATGTGCTGAATCAAAAGAAAGATTTAACTCTTTGAGATGAATCCATACATCACAAAGCGGATTCACAGATAGCTTCATTCTACTTTTTATCTGGGGATATTCACTTTTTCACCGTTGGTCTCAGTGAGTTCCAAAATATCCATTCACAGATTCTACAAAAACAGTGTTTCCAAGCTGCTGAATATAATGAAAAGCTTAACTCTCTGAGATGAATCCACACAACACAAAGCAATTTAACCAATAGCTTCATTTTAGTTTTTATCTGGGTTTATTCCCTTTTTAACCACAGGACTCAATTCACTCCCAATGTCCTTTTACAGATTTTACAAAAACAGTTTTTCCAAACTGCTGAATCAAAAGAAAGGTTTAATTCTATGAGATAAGTTGACACATCACAAAGCAGTTTAACAGACAGATTTTTTTTTTTTTAGTTTTTATCTGGAGATATTCAGTATTTCACTTTTGGCCTCAAAGAGATTTCAAATATCCCTCTGCAGATACTACAAATCAGTGTTTCCAAACTGCTGAATCAAAACAAAGGTTTAACAATGTGAGATGAATCCACACAACACAATGCAGCCTAACAGGTATCTTCTTTCTAGTTTTTATATGGGGATATACTCTTTTTCACCATAGATTTCAATGAGGTCCCAAATATCCATTTGCAGATTCTACAAAAATAGTTTTTCTAAGGTGCTGAATCAAAGGAAAGTCTTAACTGTCTGAGATAAATCCATACATCACAAAGCAGTTTTGCAGATAGCTTCTTTGTAGTTTTTTATCTGGAGATGTTTGCATTTTCACCATAGGACTCAATTCCCTCTCAAATGTCCTTTCATAGATTCTACAAAAACAGTGTCTCCAAACTGCTGAATCAAAATAAAGTTTTCCCTCTGTGAGATGAATGTGCATATAACAAAGCAGTTCACAGATAGCTTCTTTCTAGTTTTTATCTTGTGATTTTCTCTTTGTCACCATTGGCCTCAATGACCTCCCAAATGTCCCTTCATAGATTCTACAAAAACAGTGTTTCCAAACTGCTGAATCAAAAGAAAGGGTTAACTCTGCCAGATGAATTTACACACACAAAATACTTTTCCACATATCTTCTTTCTAGTTTTTATTGGGGATATTCTCTTCATTACCATAGGCCTCAATGACCTCCCAAATGTCCCTTTGAAGATTCTAAAGAAATAGTGTTTCCAACGTGCTGAATCAAAAGAAAGGATTAACTCTGAGAGATAAATGCACACATCATGAAGCAGTTTCACAGATAGCTTCTTTCTAGTTTTTATCATTGGATATTTGCCTTTTCCCATTAGGCCTCAATGACTTCCCAAATTTCCCTTCACAGATTCTACAAAAACAGTTTTTCCAAACTGTTGAATCAAAAGAAAAATTTAAATCTGTGATATGAATGCACCATTCACAAAGCAGTTTCACAGATAGCTTCTTTGTAGTTTTTATTTGAGGATATTTGCCCTTTCACCATAGGACTCAAAGGCTTCCCTAATGTCCCTTCAAAGGTTCTACAAAACAGTGGTACAAACTGCTGAATGAATAGAAATGTTTATCTCTCTGAGTTGAATGCACACATCACAAAACAGTTTCTTAGATAGATTCTTTCTGGTTTTTATATGGGGACATTTCCTTTTTTACCACAGGCCTCAATGTACTCCCAAAAGTCCCTTTGACGCTGCTACAAAAACAGTGTTTCCGAACTGCTAAATCAAAGGAAATTTTTAAGTCTGTGAGATGAATCCACACATCCCAAGGCAGATTAACAAAAAGCTTCTTTGTAGTTTTTATCTAGGGTTATTTGTTTTTCACTATATGCATCAATGAGCACTTTGCAGATTCTACAAAAACATTGTTTCCAAACTGCTAAATCAAAAGAAAGGCTTAACTCTGTTAGATGAATCCACACAGCAACAGCAGTTTCACAGACAACTTTTTTCTAGTTTTTATCTGAGGATATTCACTTTTTCACCATGTGCTTCAAGCTCTCCCAAATGTGCCTTCACAGATTCTACAAAAAAAAAAATTTCCAAACTGCAGAATCAAAAGAAAAGTTTCATTCTGTCATTTGAATGCACACATCACAAAACGGTTGCTCAGATAGCTTCTTTCTAGTTTTTATGTGGAGATATTCGCTTTTTCACTATATCCGTCAATGCGCTCCCAAATGTCCTTTTGTAGATTCTACAACAACAGTGTTTCAAAACTGCTGATTGAAAATCAAGGTTTAACTCTGTCAGATGAATACACACATCACAAAGCAGTTCCTCAGATAGCTTCTTTCTAGTTTTTATCTCGGAATATACACTTCTCTGCCAGGGCCTCAATTAGCTCTGAAATGTTCCTTTGCAGATTCTACTAAAACAGTGTTTCCAAACTGCTGAATCAAAAGAAAGGTTTAACTCTGTGAGATGAATCCACACATCCCAAAAAAGTTTAACAGATAGCTCTTTTTTTTTTTTTTTTTAGTTTCTTTCTGGGGATATTCACTTTTTCACCACAGGTCTCAAAGCACTCCCAAATATCCCTTCACAGATTCTAAAAAAACAGTTTCCAAACTGCTGAATCCAAAGAAAGGTTTATCTCTGTGAGATGCTTCCATACATCACAAAACAATTTAACAAATAGCTTATTTCTAGGTTTTATCTGGGTATATTTGCCTCTTTACCATAGGCCTCAATGCCTTCCCAAATGACCTTTCAGAGATTCTACAAAAACAGTGTTTCCAAACTGCTAATACAAAATAAATTTTTAACTCTCTTAGATGAATCCAGACATCAAAAAGTAGGTTCACAGCAAGCTGCTTTCTGGTTTTTATCTGGAGATATTCACTTTTTCACCATAGGCATCAATGGGCTCCCAAATGTCTGCTTGTGGATTCTACAGAAACAGTGTTTCAAAATTGCTGAATTGAAACAAGTCTTTAACTCTGTGAGACGAATCTACACATCACAAAGCAGTTTCACATGCAGCTTCTTTCAAGATTTATCTTCGAATATTTTCTTTTTTATTGTAGGCCTCAATGTGTTTGCAAGTGTCCCTTTGTAGATTCTACAAAAACAGTGTTTCCAAACTGCTGAATGAAAAGGAAGTCTTAACTCGGTCAGCTGAATCCAAACATGACAAAGCAGTTTTGCAGATAGCTTCTTTCTTGTTTTTATACGGGGATAGTCACTCTTTCATGGCTGGCTTCAATGCACTCCCAAATATCCCTTTGCAGATTCTACAGAAACAGTGTTTCCAACATGCTGAATCCAAAGAAAAGATTAACACTGGAAGATAAATCCACACATCACAAATAACTTTCACATATAGCTTCTTTCTAGTTTTATCAGTGAATATTTGCTTTTCCAACATTGTTCTCAATGAGCTCCCAAGTGTCCCTTGGCAGATTCTACAAAAACGTGGTTTCCAAACTACTGAATCAAAAGATAGGTTTAAATCTTTGAGATGAATCCACACATCACAAATCAATTTCAAAGATAACTTCTTTCTAGTTTTTATCTGGGGATATATGTTTTTTCACCATAGATCTAAAAGTGCTCCCAAATGTTCCTTCACAGATTCTAAAAAACAGTGTTTCCTAAATGTTGAATCAAAAGAAAGGCTAACTCTGTGAGTTGAATGCACACACCACAAAGCAGTTTCTCACATAGCTTCTTTCTAACTTTTATCTGGGGATATTCGCTTTTTCACCATAGGCCTCAATGTGCTCCCAAATGTTCTTTCACAGAAACTACAAAAACAGTGTTTCCAAACTGCTGAATCAGAAGAAAGGTTTAACTCTGTGAGATGATTCCACACATCACAAAGCAGTTTGACAGATAACATCTTTCTAGTTTTTATCTGGGTATATCTTTTTATCACCAAAGGCCTCAATGAGCTCAAAAATGTCTTTTCACAAATTCTACAAAAACAGTGTGTCCAAACTGCTGAATCAAAAGGATGGTTTAACTCTATGAGACGAATGCACACATCAAAAAGCAGTATCTCAGATAGACTCCCTTCAGTTTATATCTGAATATATTTGCTTTTTCAACAAAGACCTCAATGCACTCCCAAATGTCCTTTCACAGGTCCTACAAAAACAGTGTTTCCAAACAACTGAATCAAAAGCAAGGTTTAACTTTCTTAGATGGATGCACACATCACAGAGGAGTTTCTCAGGCACATTCTTTCTAGTTTGTAACTGGGGATATTCTCCTGTTCACCACAGGTCTCAGTCAGTTCCAAATGTCCCTTCAGAGATTCTACAAAAACAGTGTTTCCAACATGCTGAATCAAAAGAAGGATTTAACTCTGTGAGATGAATCCACACATCAAAAAACAGTATCTCAGATCGCTTCTTTCAGGTTTATATCCAAATATATTTCCTTTTTCAAAAAAGGCCTCAATGCTCTCCCAAAAGTCCATTCACAGGCTCTATAAAAACAGTGTTTCCAAACTCCTCAATCAAAAGAAATGTTTAACTCTGTGAGTTGAATGCACACTTCACAAAGAAGTTCATCAGATAGCTTCATTCTAGTTTTCATCTGGGAATATTCACTTTTTCATCATGGGACTCAAGGAGCTCTCAAATGCCCCTTTGCAGATTCTACAAAAACAGTATTTCCAAACTGATGAATCAAAACAAAAATTTAAAACTCTGAGATGAATCCACACATCATAAAGCAGTTTCACCTATAGCTTCTTCCCAGTTTTCATATAAAGATATTCATTTTTCACCATAGACCTCAATACACTCCCAAATATCCTTTCATAGACTCTACAAAAAAAGTTTTTCCAAAATGATGAAGGAAAAGAAGGATTTAACTCTTTGAGATGAATCCACACATCACAAATCAGTTCCTCAGATAGATTCTTTCAAGTTTCTTATAGGTATATTCCCTTTTTCACCATAGGCCTCAATGCAGTCCCAAATGTCCATTGCCAGATACTACAAAAGCAGTGTTTCCAAACTGCTGAATCAAAAGAAAGGATTAGCTCTGTGAGATGTATGCACACATCACAAAGTGGTTTCTCAGATATCTTCCTACCAGTTTTTATTTTGGGATATTCACTTTTTTACCATTGGCCTCAATGAGCTCCCAAAAGTCCATTCACAGGTTTTACACAAACAGTGTTTCCAAACTGCTGAATTAAAGTAATTGTTTAACTCTGTGAGATGAATGCACACATCATGAATCAGTTTCTCAGAAAGCTTCTTTAAACTTTTAATATGAAGATATTCTTTTTCACCATAGACCTCATTACGATTCCAAATCTCATTTCACAGATTCTAAAAAAACAGTGTTTCCAAACTGTTGAATCAAAAGAAAAGTTTAACTCTGAGAGATGAATGCACTCTTCACAAAGCAGTTTCTCAGAGAGATTCTTTCTAAACAGTGTTTCCAAATTGCTGACACAAAAGAAAGGTTTATAACTGTGAGATGAATGAACACATCAAAGAGCAGATTCTCAGATAGCTTCCAACGAGTTTTTATCTTTGGACATTCAGTTTTTCACAATTGGCCTCAATGAGCTCTGAAATGTCCACTCACTGAATGTACAAAAACAGTGTTTCCAAACTCCTGAATCAAAAGAAATGTTTAACTCTGTGACATGAATGCACACATCATAAATCAGTTTCTCAGAAAGCTTCTTTCTAGTTTTTATCTGAAGATATTTTATTTTTCTCTAAAGGCACCAATGCGCTCTGAAATGTCCTTTCACAGATTCTACAAAAACAGTGTTTCCAAACTCCTCAATCAAAAGAAATGTTTAACTCTGTGCGTTGAATGCACACTTCACAAAGCATTTCATCAGATAGATTCATTCTAGTTTTAATCTGGGAATATTCACTTTTTCATCATGGGACTCAAGGAGCTGTCAAGTGTCCCTCTGCAGATTCTGCAAAAACAGTGTTTCCAAGCTGATTAATCAAAATAAAAATTTAAATCTGTGAGATGAATCCACACATCGCAAAGCAGTTTCACCAATAGCTTCTTTCCAGTTTTTATATAAAAATAATCGCTTTTTCACCATAGACTTCAATGCACTCCTAAATGTCCTTTCACAGGCTCTACAAAAAAAGTTTTTCCTAACTGTTGAATCAAAAAAAGGTTTTACCTGTTTGAGATGAATCCACACACCACAAATCAGTTACTCAGATAGATTCTTTCAAGTTTCTTATAGGGATATTCCCTTTTTCACCACAGGGCTCAATGTTGTCCCAAATGCCCATTCTCAGATTCTACAAAAACAGTGTTTCCAAACTGCTGAATCAAAAGAAAGGTTTAACTCTGTGAGATGAATACACACATCATAAAGCAGTTCTTCAGAAATCTTTCTTATAGTTTTTATCTGATGATATTTTCTTTTTCACCACAGATCTCAATATGATCCCAAATTCCTGTCACACATTGTAGAAAAACAATGCTTACAAACAGCCGAATCAAAAGAATGCTTTAATTCTGTGAGATGAATGCACACAACTCAAAGCAGTTTCTCAGAAAGCTTCCTTCTAGTTTTTATCCGAAAATAATTTATTTTTCAACATAGGTGAAAAGCACTCCCAAATGACTTTTACATATTTTACAAAAATAATGTTTCCAAACTGCTGAATGAAAAGAAAGGATTAACTCTGTGAGATGAATGCACACATCACAGAGTGGTTTCTCAGATACCTTCCTACCCATTTTTATTTTGGCATATTCACTTTTTCACCATTGGCCTCAATGAGCTCCCAAATGTCAATTCACAGATTTTACAAAAACAGTGTTTCCAAACTGCTGAATTAAAATAAGGGTTTAACTCTATGATATGAATGCTCACATCATAAATCAATTTCTCAGAAAGCTTCTTTAAGCTTTTAATCTGAAGATATTTTCTTTGTCACCATAGACCTCATTATGATCCCAAATGTCATTTCACAGATTCCAAAAACACTGTTTCCACACGGCTGAATCAAAAGGAAAGTTTTAGTCTGTGAGATGAATGCAAACTTCCCAAAACAATTTCTCAGAAAGATTCTTTCTAAACAGTGTTTCCAAACTGCTGAAACAAAAGAAAATTTTCTCTGTGAGATGAATGAACACATCACAGAGCAGTATCTCAGATAGCTTCCCTCGAATTTTTATCTTGGGACATTTGCTTTTTCACAATTGGCCTCAATTAACTCCGAAATGTCCACTCACAGAATGCACAAAATCAGTGTTCCTAAACTCCTGAATTAAAAGAAATGTTTAACTCTGTGACATGAATGCACACATCACAAAGCAGTTTGTCAGAAAGCTTCTTTCTAGTTCTTACCTGAGGATATTTTATTTTTCTCCAAAGGCATCAATGCATTCCCAAATGTCCTTTCACAGATTCTTCAAAAGCAGTGTTTGCAAACTGCCGAATCAAAAGAAAGGTTTAACTCTGTGAGATGAATGCAAACATCACAAAGCTGTATCTCTGATAGCTTTCTACTACTTTTTATCCTGGGATATTCACTTTTTCAACATTGGCCTCAATGAGGTCCCAAATGTCCACTCGCAGAATGGACAGACAGTGTTTCCAAACTGCTCCATCAAAAGAAAGGCTTCACTCTGTGAGATGAATAAAGACTTCACAAAGTAGTTACTAAGAGAACTTCTTTCTAATTTTATTATGAAGATATTTCCTTTCTCAACTCATGCTTCAATGCACTCCCAAGCATCCCTTCACAAATTCTACAAAGACAGTGTTTCCAAACAGCTGATTCAAAGAAACGTTTATCTCTGTGAGATTAATGCACACATCTCAAAGCAGTTTCTCAGAATCCTTTCTAGTTTTTATCTGAAGTTATTTTCTTTTTCACCATAGGCTTCAAAACGCTCCAAAATATCCCTTGGCAGATTCTACAAAAACAGTTTTTCCAAACAGCTGAATAAAAAGAAAGGTTTAATTTTGCAAGATGAATGCAGACATCACAAACCAGTTTCTCACATAGTTTCATTCTATTTTTAATCCTGGGATATTCGCTTTTTCCCCACTGGCCTCAGTGAGCTCCCAAATGTCCGTTCTCAGAATGGACAAATATGGTGTTTCCAAACTGCTGAATAAAAAGAAATGTTTAACTCTGTGAGATGAATGCACACATCACAAAGCAGTTTCTCAGAAAGACTCTTTCAATTTTTCATCTGAACATATTTTCTTTTTCACCATAGGCCTCAATGCACTCCCAAATATGCCTTCGCAGATACTACAAAAACAGTGTTTCCAAACTGCTGAATGAAAAGAAATCTGTAACTCAGTGAGATTAATGCACACATCACAAAGCGGTTTCTCAGATAGTTTCCTTCTAGTTTAAATCATGGGATTTTCACTTTTTTGCCACTGCCCTGAATGAGCTCCCAAATATCCCTTTGGAGCTTCTACACAAACAGTGTTTCCAAACTGCTGAATGAACAGAATGTTTTAACTCTGTGAGATGAATTCACACATCACAAAGCAGTTTCTCAGACAGCTTCCTTCTAGTTTTTATCCTGGGATATTTGCTTTTTTGTTTTTGGCCTCAATGAGCTCCCAAATGTCCATTCGCAGAATGGACTAAAACAGTGTTTCCAAACTGCTGAATCAGAAGAAAGGTTTAACTCTGTGAGATGAATGCACAATCACAAAGAAGTTTCTCAGAAAGCTTCTTTCTAGTTTTTATCTGAAGATATTTTCTTTTTCACCATAAGCCTCAATGCGCTCCCAAATATCCCTTCACAGATTCTACAAAAACAGTGTTTCCAAACTGATGAATAAAAAGAAAGTTTTAAATATGTGAGTTAAATGCACACATCACCAAGAAGTTTCTCAGAAAACTTCTTTCTACTTTTTATCAGAATATATTTTCCTTTTCACCACAGGCCTCAATGTGCTCCCAAATATCCCTTTGCAGATCCTTCAAAAACAGTGTTTCCAAACTGCTGAATGAAAAGAAAGGTTTAACCCTAGGAGATGAATGCACACATCACAAACCTTTTTCTCAAATTTCTTCCTTCTAGTTTTTATCCTGGGATAATTGCTTTTTCACCTTTGGTTTCAATGATCTCCCTGAGCTCATTGAGACATTTGGGAGCTCACTGAATCTTTCTGAGAAACTGCTTTGTTATGCGTGCATTCATCTCTCAGAGTTCAAGCTCTCTTTTGATTCAGCAATTTGGAAATACTCTTTTTGTCTATTCTGCTAATGGACATTTTGGACCTCATTGAGGCCAATGGCAAACAAGTGAATATCCCAGCTTAAAAACAAGAAAGAGACTATCTGGCAAACTGCATTGTGATGTGCGCATTCATTTTCCAGAGATAAACATTTCTTTCAATTCAGCGGTTTTTAAACACTGTTTTTTAATGTTCTGTGAATGGACATTTGGGATCACTTTGAGGCCTATGGTGAAAAAGAAAATATCTTCAGATAAAAACTAGAAGAACTCTTGCTGAGAAACTGCTTTGTGATGTTTGCATTCATTGCATGGAGTTAAACCTTTCTTTTGGCTCAGCAGATTGGAAACACTGTTTTTGTTCATTCTGTGAATCAACATTTAGGAGCTCATTGAGGCCAATGGCAAAAAAGGGAATATGCCTCTATAAAAACTAGAAGGAAGCTATCTGAGATACTGCTTCATGATGTGTGCATTCATCTCCCAGAGTTAAAACTTTCTTTTGATTAAGCAGTTTAGTAACACTCTTTTGGTGCATTCTGTGAGTGGACAGTTGGGAGCACATTGTTGCCAATGGTGAAAAAGAAAATGTCTTCAAATTAAAACAAGAAAGAAGCTTTCTGAGAACATGCTTTGTGAATTGTCCATTCATCTCATAGGGATAAACCTTTCTTTTGATTCAGCATTTTGGAAACCTTGTTTTTGTCTATTTTGTGAATGCACATTTTGGAGCTCATTGAGACCAATGACATAAAAGTGAATATCTGAGGTAAAAACTAGAAGGAAGGTATCTGAGAAGCAGCTTTGTGATGTGTGCATTTCATTTCCCAGAGTTACACCTTTCTTTTTCATTCAGCAGTTTGGAAATAATGTTTTTGTATATTCTTGAAATGGACAATTGAGAGTGCAATGAGGCCTGAGGTGACAAGGAAAATACCTTCTGAAAAAAAGTATATAGAAGGTTTCTGAGAAACTTCTTTGTGATGGGTGCATTCATCTTGCAGAGGTAAAACTTTTTTTTCATTCAGCAGTTTGGAAACACCATTTTTGAAGAATCTATGAAGGGATATATGGGAGCACATTGAGGCTTATGGTGAAAAAGAAAACATCTTCAGATAAAAATGAGAAAGAAGCTTTCTGAGAGATACCTTTGTGATGTGTGCATTCATCTCGCAAAGTTAAACCTGTCTTTTCATTCAGCAGTTTGGAATCACTGCTTTTGTAGAATCTGCAAAGGGATATTTGGGAGCACATTGAGGCCTATGGCAAAAAAAGTTAATACCCAGGGATATAAACTGGAAGGAAGCTATCTGAGAAACTGCTTTGTGACGTGTGCATTCATCTCACAGACTTAAACTGTTCCTTTGATTCAGCAATTTGGAAACTCTGTTTTTGTAGAATCTGTGGAGGGACATTTTGGAAAGCTTTGAAGCCTATGGTGAAAAAGAGAATATCTTTATCTAAAAACTAGAAAGACGCTTTCTGAGGAATTACATTGTGATGTGTGCATTCATCTCAGAGAGTTAATCCTTTCTTTTGATTCATCAGTGTGGAGACATTGTTTTTGTCCATTCTATGAAAGGACATTTGGGGTCTCATTGAGGCCAGTGGTGAAAAAGAGAATATCCAGGACAAAAACTAGAAAGAAGCTATCTGAAAAACTGCATTATTATGTGTGCATTCATAACAGAGTCAAAACTTTCCTTTGAGTAGGCCGTTTGGAAACATCGTTTTTGTACATTCTGTGAATGGATATTTGGGAGTGCATTAAGGCCAATGGCGAAAAAGGGAATATACCAGGATAAAAACTAGAAGGAAGCTATCTGAGAAACTGCTTTACAATGTGTACATTCAAGTCACTGAGTTAAACATTTGTTTTCATTCAGCAGTTTGGAAGCACTGTTTTTGTATAATTGCTGAAGGGACATTTGGGAGCGTATTGTGGCCTGTGGTGAAAAAGAAAATATCTTCAAATAAAAACTAGAAAGAAGCTTTCTGAGAAACTGCTTTGCGATGTCTGCATTCATCTCACAGAGTTAAACCTTCCTTTTAATTCAGCAGTTTGGAAACACAGTTTTTTCCATTCTGCAAATGGATATTTCAGAGCTCATTGAGGACAATGGCAAAAAAGCGAATATACCAGGAGGAAAACTATAATGATGCTATCTGAGAAACCACTTTGTCATGTGTGCTTTCATCTGACAGACTTAAACCTTTCTTTGGATTCACCAGTTTTGAAACAAGTTTTTGTCCATTCTTTGATTGGCCTTTTTGAGCTCTTTGAGGCCAATGGTGAAAAAGAAAATAACTTCAGATAAAAACGAGAAAGAAGCTTTCTGAGAAACTGATTTCTTATGTGTGCATTATTCTCACAGAATTAAACCTTTCCTTTGATTCAGCAGTTTTGAAACACTGTTTTTGTCCATTTGGTGAATGGACATTTGGGAGCCAATTGAAGCCAATGGCAAAGAAGTGAATATCCCAGGATAAAAACTGGAAGGAAGCTATCTGAGAAAACTTTTTATGATGTGTGCATTCATCTCACAGAGTTAAAACTTTCTTTTCATTCAGCAGTTTGGAAAAGCTCTTTTTCTAGAATCTGCCAATGGGTATTTGGGAGTACACTGACGTCTATGGTGAAAAAGAAAATAGCTTCAGACAAAAACTAGAAAGAAGTTTTCTGAGAAACTGATTTGTGACGTCTTCATTCATCTCACAGAGTTAAACCTTGCTTTTGATTCAGCAGTTTGGAAACACCTTTTTTGTCCATTCTGTGAATGGATATTAGGGAGATCATTGAGGCCAATGGTGAAAAAGAGAATATCCAAGTATAAAAACTAGAAAGAAGCTATCTGAGAAACTGTTTGGTGATGTGTGCATTCATCTCACAGAGTTAAACTTTTCCTTTGATTCAACAATTTTGAAAAACTGTTTTTGTCCATCCTGTGAGTGAATATTTGGGAGCTCATTGAGGCCAAAGGCAAAACAGTGAATGTCCCTAAATAAAAATTAGAAGGAAGCTGTCTGAATAACAGGTTTGTGATGTTTGCATTCATCTCACAGATTCAAACTTTTGCTTTGATTCAGTATTTTTAAACACTGTTTTTGTCTATTCTGTGAATGGACATTTGGGAGCTTCTTAAGGCCAATGGCAAAAAAGTGAATATCCCAATGTATAAACTAGAAGGAAGCTGTCTGAGAAACTGCTTTCTGATGTGCACATGCATCCTGCCAAGTTAAACCTTTCTTTGATTCAGCAGTTAAGAAACACTGCTTTTGTCCTTTCTGTGAATGGACATTTGTGTGCTCATTAGGCCAATGGTGAAAAAGCTAATATCCCAGGATACAACTAGAAGGAAGCTAGCTGAGAAACTGCTTTATGATGTGTGCATGCATCTCACAGCGTTAAATGTTGCATTTCATTCAGCAGTTTGGAAACACTGTTTTTGTAGTATCTGCAAAGGGATATTTGGGAGTGCTTTGAGAACTATGGTGAAAAATAATATATGTTCAGAAAAAAGAAGGAAGACTATTTCTGAGAAATTGCTTTGTAATTTGTGCATTCAACTCCTAGAGCTAAACCTTTCTTTTGATTCAGCAGTTTGGAAACACTGTTTTTGTTGATTCATTGAATGGATATTTGGGAGCGCATGAAGGAAAGTGGTGAAAAAGAGAATATCCAAGGACAAAAACTAGAAAGAAGCTATCTGAGAAACTGCTTTGTGATGTGAGCATTTATCTTGCAGAGTTAAAAGTTTCTTTTCATTGAGCAGTTTGGAAAAACTTTTTGTAGAATCTACAAAGGGATATTTGGTAGCACATTGAGGCCTATGGTGAATAAGAAATTATCTTCAGATAAAAACTAGAAAGAAGCTTCGTGGGAAACTTCTTTGTGATGTGTGCATTCATCTCACTGACCTAAACATTCCTTTTCATTAGGCAGTTTGGAAAACCTGTTTTTGTAGAATCTGCAAAGTGGTATTTGGGAGCTCATTTAGGCCTATGGTGAAAAATAAAATGTCTTCACATAAAAAGTAGAAAGAAGTTTTCTGAGAAACTTATCTGTGATTTCTCCATTAATCTCACATAGTTAAACCTTTATTTTTATTCAGCAGTTTGGGAAACTATTATTGTCCATTCTGTGAATGGACATTTGGGAGCTTATTGAGGCCAATGGCAAAAAAGAGAATATCCCAGAATAAAAACTAGAAGGATACTATCTGAGAAACTGCTTTGTGACATATGCATTCGTCCCACAGAGATAAAACTTTCTTATCATCCAGCAGTTTGGAAACGTTGTTTTTTAAGAATCTGTTAAGGGATATTTGGGAGTGCATTGAGTCCTATGCTGAAAAAGAGAGAAAAACTAGAAAGAAGTTTCAGAGAAAGTGATTTGTGATGTGTGCATTTGTCTCACAGGGATAAACCTTTCTTTTGATTCAGCAGTTTTGAAAACCTGTTTTTGTCCTTTCTGTGAGTGGATATTTCGGAGCTCTTTGAGGCCAAGGGCAAAAATGTGAAAGTCCCAGGATAAAAACTAGAATGAAGCTATGTGAGAAACTGCTTTGTGATGTGTGCATTCAACACACAGAATTATACCTTCTTTTTATTCAGCAGTTAAGAACCACTGTTTTTGTAGAATCTGTGAAGGGATTTTGGGATCTTATTGAGGCCTATGGTGAAAAAGAAAATATCTTCAGATAAAAGCAAGAAAGAAGCTTTCTGAGAAACTGCTTTGTGATGTGTGCATTCATCTCACAGAGTTAAAACTTTCTTTTGATTCAGCAGTTCGGAAACACTGTTTTTGTTTATTCTGTGAATGGACATTTGGAAGTTCATTGAGGCCAATGTTGAAAAAGCAAACATCCCGGGATGAAAACTTGAAGGAATCTATCCAAGAAACCACTTGCAATGTGTGCATTCATCTCACAAATTTAAACCTTACTTTTGATTCAGCAGTTTGGAAACAGTGTTTTTATCCATTCTGCAAATGGCCATTTAGGAGCTCCCTGAGGCCAATGGAGAAAAAGGAATATCCCAGGATAAAAATAAAAAGAAAGCTATCTCAGAAACCCCTTTGTGATGTGTGCATTCATCTCAGAGAATTAAACCTTTCTTTTCATTCAACAGCTTGGAAACACTGCTTTTGTATAATCTGTGAAGGACTATTTGGGTGCACATTGAGGCTTATTGTGAAAAAGAAAACATCTTCAGATAAAAACTAGAAAGAATATTTCAGAGAAACTCCTTTGTGATGTGTGCATTCATCTCACAGAGCTAAACGTTTCCTTTCATTCAGCAGTTTGGAAACACTGTGTTTGTAGAATCTGCGAAGAGATATTTGGGAGCACCTCAAGGCCTATGGTGAAAAAGAAAATATCTTCAGATAAAAACTAGAATGAAGCTTTCTGACAAACTGTTTTGTTATTTGTGCATTCATCCCACACTCTTAAAATGTTCTTTTGACTAAGTAGTTTGGAAAAACTGTTTTTGTCCATTCTGCAAATGGATATTTTGGTGCCCATTGAGGCCAATGGTGAAAAAGTGAATATCCCAGGATAAAAACTAGAAGGAAGCTATCAGAGAAACCCCTTTATGATGTGTGCATTTATTTCACAGAGATACACTTTTCTTTTCATGCAGCTGTTTAGAAACACTGTTTTTGTAGAATCTGAGAAAGTACATTTGGGGGTGCAGTGAGGCCTATGGTGAAAAAGAAAATATCTTCAGATAACATCTAGAAAGAAGTTTTTGGAGAAACTGCTTTGTGATGTCTACATTCATCTCATAGAGTTAAACGTTTCTTTTGATTCAGAGGTTTGGAAACACTGTTTTGGTCCATTCTACGAATGGACATTTGGAAGCTCATTAAAGTCAATTGTGAAAAAACTAATATCTCAGGATAAAAACTACACTGAAGCTATCTGCAAAATGGCTTTGTGAAGTGTGCATTCATCTCACAGAGGTAAACATTTCTTTTCATTCAGCAGTTTGTAAACACTGTTTATGTAGAATCTGAAAAGGCATATTTGGGAGTGCACTGAGGCCCATGGTGAAAAACAAAATATCATCAAATAAAAACTAGAAAGATGCTTTTTGAAAAACTGCTTTGTGATGGATTCATTCATCTCACAAGGTTGAACATTTCTTTGATTAAGCAGTTTGGAAAAACTGTTTGTCTCCATTCAGAAAATGGACATTTGGGAGCTCATTAAGGAAAATGGCAAAAAAGTGAATAACCCAGGATAAAAACTAGAAGGAAGCTGTCTGAGAAACTGGTTTGTGATGTGTGCATTCATCTCACAGATTTAAACTTTTCTTTACATTCAGCAGTTTGGAAACACTGTTTTTGTAGAATCTGAGAAGGGATCTTTGGGAGTGCATTGAGGCCCATGGTGAAAAACAAAATATCATCAAATAAAAACTAGAAAGAAACTTGCTGAGTAACTGCTTTGTGATGTGTGCATTCATCTCACAGAGGTAAACTTTACTTTTGATTCTGCAGTTTGGAAACACATCGTCCATTCTGCGAATGGACATTTGGGAGCTCATTGATGCCAACAGCAAAACAGCGAATATTCCAGGATAAACACTAGAAGGAAGCTATGTCAGAAACTGCTTTCTGAAATTTGCATTCATCTCACAGACATAAACATTTCTTTTCATTCAGCAGTTTGGAAAATCTTTTTTTTTCCTCCATTCTGGGAATGGACATTTGTGAGCTCATTGAGGACAGCAGTGAAAAAGTGAATATCCCAGGATAAAAACTAGAAGGAAGCTATATGACAAACAGTTTGGTGATGTCTGCATTCATCTCACAGAGGTAAACCTTTCTTTCCATTCAACAGTTTGGAAACACTATTTTTGTAGAATCTGCACAGGGATATTTGGAGTGAATTGAGGCCTATGGTGAAAAAGAAAATATTTTCACTTAAAAACTAGAAAGAAGAAGCTTTCTGAGAATCTGCTTTGAGGTGTGTGAGTTCATTTCACAGAGTTAAACCTTTCTTTTGATTCAGCAGTTTGGAAAACCTTTTTTTGCCCATTCCTAAAATGGACATTTTGGAGCTCATTGAGGCCAAAGGTAAAAAAAGTGAATATCCCAGGATAAGAACTGGAAGGAAGCTATCTGATAAACCACTTTGTGATGTGTTCATTCATCTCTCAGTTAAACATTTCTTTTCATTCAGCATTTTGGAAACACTGTTTTTGTCCTTACTGTGAATGGACCTTGGGGAGCAAATTGAGGCCAATAGCAAAAAAGTGAATGTCCCAGGATAAAAAGTAGAATGAAGCTATCTGAGAAACTGATTTGTGATATGTGCATTCAACTGTCAGAGTTAAAGCTTCTTATTCATTCAGCAGTTAGGAAACACTTTTTTGTAAAATCTACAAAGGGATATCTGGGAGCTTATTGAGGCCTATGGTGAAAAAGAAATTATCTTCAGATAAAAACTAGAAAGAAGCTTTCTGAGAAACGGCTTTGTAACATGTGCATTCATCTCAAAAAGTTAAAACTTTATTTTGATTCAGTAGTTTGCATACTCTGTTTTTGTACATTTTCCAAATGGAGATTTGGGAGCTCATTGAGGCCAATGGCAAAAAAGCGATAATCCCAGGGTAAAACCTAGAAGGAAGATACTGGAGAAACCTCTTTATGATGTGTGCATTCACCTGGCAGATTTAAACCTTTCTTTACATTCGGCAGTTAGGAAACAGTTTTTGTCCATTCTGTGAATGGACATTTGGGAGCTCATTGAGGCCAATGGCAAAAAAGAGTATATCCCAGGATAAAAACTGGAAGGAAGCTATCTGAGAAACCACTTTGTTATGTGTTCATTCATCTCACAGAGTTTAACCTTCCTTTTATTCAGCAGTTTGGAAACACTATTTTGTAAGATCAGCAACTAGATATTTGGGAGCTCATTGAAGACAATGATGAAAAAGAAAATAACTTCAGATTAAAATTAGAAAGAAGCATTCTGAGAAACTGCTTTGTGAGCTGTGCATTCATCTCACATACCTAAACCTTCCTTTTCATTCATCAGTTTGGAAACACTGTTTTTGTAGAATCTGCATAAGGTCATTTGGGAGCACATTGAGGTCTATGGTGAAAAGGAAAATATCTTCACATAAAATCTAGAAAGAAATTTTCTGAGAAACTGCGTTGTGATTTGTCCATTAATCTGACACAGTTAATTTTCTTTTTATTCAGCAGTGTGGGAACACTTTTTGTCTGATATGTGAATAGACATTTTGGAGCTCATTTTGTCAAATTTCAAGAAAGAGAATATCCCAGTATAAAAATTAGAAGGAAGCTATCTGAGAAACTGCTTTATCATGTGTGCATTCATCTTGCAGAGTTAAACCTTTCTTTTCATTCAGCAATTTTGAAACGCATTTTTGTAGGATCTTGGAAGAGATATTTTACAGTGGATTGAGGCCAATGTTGATAAAGTAAATATCATCAGATAAAAACTAGAAAGAAGCTATCTGGGAAACTGCTTGTTGATGAGGGCATTTATTTCACAGAGCTAAAACTTTTTTTATTCAGCAGTTTGGAAAGACTCTTTTTGTAAAACCTGTGAAGGCACATTAGGAAACATGTTGAGGCCTATCATGAAATAGAAAATATCTTCAGTTAAAAACTAGAGGGAAATTTTCTGAGATACTGTTTTGTGATGTGTGTATTCACCTCACAGAGTTAAAACATTCTTTTGTTTAAGCAGTGTGGAAACTATTTTTGTTCATTCTGCGAATGGACGATTAGGAGCTCATTGAGGCCAATGGTGGAAAAGTGAATATCCCATGATAAAAACTAGAAGGAAGCTATCTGAGAAACCGATGTGTGAAGTGTGCATTCATCTCACAGAGTTAAACCTTTCTTTTCATTCAGTAGTTTTGAAACACTGCTTTTGTAGAATGTGCAAATGGATATTTGGGGGTCCACTGAGTCCTGTGGTGAAAAAGAAAATATCTTCAGACAAAAAATAGAAAGAAGCTTTCTGAGAAATACTTGGTGATCTTGGAATTCAGCTCAGAGAGGAAAATCTTTCCTTTGATTCAGCAGTTTGGAAACACTGCTTTTGTCCATTCTGTGAATGGACATTTTGTAGCTCTTTGAGGCCAAAAGTGAAAAATGGAATATCCCAGGTTTAAAACTTGAAGGAAGCTATCTGAGAATCCGTTTTGTGATGTGTGCATTAATCTCACAGAGTTAAACCTTTCCTTTCATTCAGCATTTTGGAAATACTGTTTTGTCCATTCTGCAAACGGACATTTGGGAGCTCATTGGGCCAATGGCAAAAAAGCGAATATCTCAGGACAAAAACAAGAAGGAAGCTATCTGAGAAACTTCTTCATGATGTGTGCATTCATCTCGCAGAGTTGAATGTTTCTTTGTATTCAGCAGTTTGGGAACACTGTTTTTGTAGAATTTGTGAAGGGATATTTGGGACTGCCTTGAGGCCTATGGTGAAAAAGAAAATATCTTCAGATAAAAACTAGAAAGAATCTTTATGAGAAACACATTTGTGATGTGTGCATTCATCTCATAGATTTAAACATTGTTTTGATTCAGCAGTATGGAAATACTGTTTTTGACCATTTTGTGAAAGGACATTTGGGAGCTCATTGTGGCCAATGGGTTTTCTGAAAAAGGGAATATCCTGTTATAAAAACTAGAAGGAAACTGAGAAACTGCTTTGTGATGTGTCCATTCATCTTGCAGAGTTAAACCTTTCTTTACATTCAGCAATTTGGAAACACAGTTTTTGTAGAATCTGGAAAGGGACATCTGGGTATGCATTGAGGCCGGTCATGAAAAAGAAAATATCTTCAAGTAAAAACTACAAGAAAACTTTCTGAGATACTGCTTTGGGTAGCATGCATTCATCCAACAGAGGTAAATCATTCTTTTGATTCAGCAGTTTCGAAGCAGTCTTTTTGCCCATTGTTTGAATGGACAGTTTGGAGCTCATTGAGGCCAATAGCAAAAAAGCAAATATGCCAGGGGAAAAACTAGAAGGAAGCTATCTGAGAAACTGCTTTGTTATGTGTGTATTCATGTCACAAGGTTAAACCTTTCTTTTCATTCAGCAGTTTGGAGACACTGTTTTTCTATAATATGTGAAGGAATATTTGGGAGCACATTGAGGTCTATGGTGAAAAAGAAAATATCTTCAGATAAAAAATAGAATGAAGCTTTCTGAGAAACTACTTTGTGATGTATGCATTCGTGTCACAGATTTAAACCTTTCTTTTGATTCAGCAGTTTGCAAACACTGTTTTTGTCCATTCTGACAAAGGACATTTGGGAGCCCATTGAGGCCAAAGGTGAAAAAGTGAATATCCCAGGATAAAAACTAAAGGAAGGTATCTGAGAAACTGCTTGGTGATAGAAGCATGCACTTCACAGAGTTAAATCTTTCTTTTCATTCAGCAGTTTGGAGACACTGTTTTTGTCCCTTCTGCAAATTGAGAGTTAGGACGTCAATGAGCCCAAAAGCGAAAAAGCAAATATTCCAGGATAAACACCATGAGGAAGCTATCTGAGAAACCGCTTTGTGATGTGTGCATTCATCTGGCAGAGTAAAAACTTTCTTTTCATTCAGCAGTTTGGAAACACTGTTTTTGTCCATTCTGCAAATGGACATTTGGGAGCTGATAATGACCAATAGCAAAAAAGCAAATATCCCAGGATAAAAACTAGAAGGAAGCTATATGGGAAACTGCTTTGTGATGTGTACATTCATGTCTCATAGATAAACCTTTCTTTTGACTCAGCAGTTTACATACACTGTTTTTGTCCTTCCTGTGGATGGACATTTGGGAGCTCATTGTGGCCAATTTCAATAAAGCAAATATCCCAGGATAAAAACTACAAAGAAGCTATCTGAGAAACCACTTTGTGATGTCTGCATTCAATTTGCAGAGTTAAACCTTCATTTTCATTCAGCAGTTAGGAAACACCATTTTTGTACAATCTGCAAAGCGATATTTGGGAACTTATTGAGACCTATGGTGAAAAAGAAAATATCTTCAAATAAAAACTAGGAAGAAATTTCCTGAGAAACTGATTTGTGATATGTGCATTCATCTCACAGACTTAAATTTTTCTTTTGATTCAACAGATTGGAAACGCTGTTTTTGTCCATTTGGAGAATGGATATTTTGATGCTTATTGAGGCCAATAGCAAAAAATTGAATATTCCAGAATAAAAACTAGTAGGAAGCTCTCTGTGCAACTGCTTTGTGATATGTGCATTCATCTCACAGAGTTAAACGTGACTTTGCATTCAGTAGGTTGGAAACACTCTTTTTGTAGATCTGCAAAGGGATATTTCAGAGCACACTGAGGCCTATGTAGAAAAATAAAATATCTTTAGATAAAAACTAGAAAGAAGCTATCTGAGAAACTGCTTTCTGATGTGTACATTCATCTCACTGAGTTAAAGCTTTCTTATGATTCAGCAGTTTGGAAACTCTTTTTGTCCATTCTGCGAATGGACATTTGGGAGCTAATTGAGACCAATGGCAAAAAAGCGAATATCTCAGGATAAAAACTAGAGGGAAGCTGTTTAAGAAACTGATTTGTGATATGGGCATTCATCTCACCGAGTTAAAACATTTCTTTGATTCAGCAGTTTGGAAACAGTATTTTCGTCCATTCTGCAAAAGGACTTTTGGGAGCTCACTGAGGCCAAAGGTGAAAAAGTGAATATCTCAAATGAAAACTAGAAGGAAGCTGTCTGAGAAGCCCCTTTTTGATGTGGGCTTTCATTTCGCAGAATTAACACTTTCTTTTAATTCAGCAGTTTGGAATCACTGTTTTTGTGGATTCTACGAAGGGATATCTGGGAATGCTTTTAGTCCTATGGTGAAAAAAGAATATATCTTCATATAAAAACTAGAGAGAAGTTTTCTGAGAAACTGCTTTGTGATTTCTGCATTCATCTCACAGAGTTAAACATTCCTTTTCACTCAGCAGTGTGGGAACACTGTTTTTGTCCATTCTGTGAATGGACATTTTGGAGCTCTTTGAGGCCAATGGTGAAAAAGCAAATATCCCAGGATAAAAATTGAAGGAACCTATCTGAAAAATGGCTTTGTGATGTGTGCATTCATCTCGCAGATTTAAACCTTTCTTTTCATTCAGCAGTTAGGAAACATTGTTTTTGTAGAATCTGTGAAGGGTGAAAAAGAAAATATCTTCATCTAAAAACTGGAAAGAAGCTTTCTTAGAAAATACTTTGTGATGTATGCCTTCATCTCACAGAGTTAAACCTTTCTTTTGATTCAGCAGTTTATTGATGCCAATGTTGAAAAAGAGAATATCCCAGGATAAAAACTATAAGGAAGCTATGACATCCACCACTTTGTGATGTGTGCATACGTCTCACAGATTTAAACCTTTCTTTTGATTCAGCAGTTTGGAAACACTGTCTTTGTCCTTTTTGTGAATGAACATTTGGGAGCTCTTTGAGGCCAAAGGTGAAAAAGCGAGTATCCCAGGAGAAAAACTAGAATGAAGCTATCTGAGGAACCACTTTGTGATGTGTGCATTCAACTCACAGATTTAAACGTTTCTTTTTATTCAGCAGTTAGGAAACACTGTTTTTGTAGAATCTGCAAAGGGATATTTTGTATCTTATTGAGGCCAATGGTGAAAAAGAAAATACCTTCAGATAAAAATTAGAAGGAAACTTTCTGAGAAACTGCTTTGTGATGTGTGAATTCATCTCACAGAGTTAAACTTTGCTTTTGATTCAGCTGTTTGGAAACACAGTTTTTGTCCACTGTGCAAAAGGACATTTGGGAGCTCATGGAAGTCAATGGCAAAAAAGGGAATATTCCAAGATGAAGCTGAGAAGCAAGCTATCTGAGAAACCACTTTGTGATGTGTACACTCATCTCACAGAGTTAAACCTTTGTTTTGATTCAGCAGTTTGGTAACACTGTTTTTGTAGACTCTGAGAAGGGATATTTGGGGGTGCATTGAGTTCTGTGATGAAAAAAGAATATATCTTCAGATAAAAATTAGAAAGACGTTTTCTGAGAAACTGCTTTGTGATGTGTGCATTCATCTTACAGAGATAAACATTTATCTTGATTCAGCAGTTTGGAAACACTGTTTTTATCCATTCTGTGAATGGACATTTGGGAGTTCATTAAGGCACACATGAAAAGGTGTATATCCCAGGGTAAAAACTAGAAGGAAGCTATCTGAGAAACCACTCTGTGGTGTGTGCATTGATCTCGCTGATTTAAAGCTTTCTTTTGATTCAGCAGTTTGGAATCACTGTTTGTGCTCATTCTGTAAATGGATATTTGGGAGCTCATTGAGGTCAATGGCAAAAAAGTGAATAACTGAGGATAAAAACTAGAAATAAGCTATCTGAGAAACGGATTTATGATGTGTGCATTCATCTCGCAAAATTAAACATTTCTTTTCCTTCAACAGTTTGGAAACACGGTTTTTATAGGATCTGCAAAGGGATATTTTGGAGCACATTGAGGTCTATGGTGTAAAAGAAAATATCTTCAGATAAAACCTAGAAAGAAGCTTTCTGAGAAATTGCATTTTGATGTGTGCATTCATCTCACAGAGTTAATACTTTTTTTTGATTCACCAGTGTGGATACACTGTTTTTGTCCATTCTGCTAATGGACCTTTGGGGGCTCATTTAGGCCAATGGCAAAAAAGTGAATATCCCAGGATAAAAACTAGAAGGAAGGTATCTGAGAAACTGCTATGTGATGTGTGCCATCATCTCACAGTCTTAAAAGTTTCTTTTCATTCACCAGTTTGGAAACAGTGTTTTTGTAGAATCTGCAAAGTCATATTTTTGAGTGCATTGAGCCCAATGGTGAAAAACAAAATATCTTCAGACAAAAACTAGAAAGAAGCTTTCTGAGAAACTAATTTGTGATGTGTGCATTCATTTCACAAAGCTAAACTTTTTTTTGATTCAGCAGTTTGGAAAAACTGTTGTTGTCCATTTTGTGAATGGACATTTTGGAGATCATTGAGGCAAAAGGAGAAAAACGGAATATCTCAGGATAAAAACTTGAAGGAATCTATCTCACACATCACTTTGTGGTGCCAGCATTCATCTCACAGAGTGAAACCTTTCTTTTCATTCAGCAGTTTGGATACACTGTTTTTGTCCATTCTGAAAATGGACATTTGGGAGCACATTGTTGTCAATGGCAAAAAAGCAAGTGTCCCAGGAAAAAAAAAAAAAAAACTTGAAGGAAGCTATCTTAGAAACCCCTTTAATTAATGGGCATTTATCTTGCAGAGATAAGCCTTTCTTTTCATTCAGCATTTTTGAAACACCGTTTTTGTAGTATCTATGAAAGGATATTTGGGAGCACAATGAGGACTACGGTGAAAAAGAAATTATCTTTAGATGAAAACTAGAAAGAAACTCTCTGAGAAACTGCATTGTGATGTGTTCATTCATCTCATAGAGTTAAAAGTTTCTTTTGATTCAGCAATTTGTAAACACTGTTTTTTTCCATTCTGCTAATGGACATTTAGGAGCTCATTGAGGCCAATGGCAAAAAAGCTAATATCCCAGGAAAAAAACTAGAAGGAAGCTATCTTAGAAACCATTTTACAAAGTGTGCATTCATCTAGCAGAGATAAACATTTGATTTGATTTAGCAGTTTGGAAACACTGTTTTTTTTAGAATCTCTGAAGGGATACAAGGGAGTCCATTGAGGTCTTTGGTGAAAAAGAAAATATCTCCAGATAAATACTAGAAAGAAGCATTCATAGAAACTCCTTTGTGATGTGTGCAATCATCTCACAGATTTAAACCTTTTTTTTCTTTTAGCAGTTTGGAAACACTGCTGTTGTCCACTCCATGAATGAACATTTTGGAGCTCATTGAGGTGAATGGCAAAAAAATGAATATCCCAGGATAAAAACTAGAAGGAAACTATCTGAGAAACTGCTTTGTGATGTGTGCATTCATCTAGCAGAGTTAAACATTTCTTTTGATATGGCATTTTGGAAACACTGTTTTTGTCGATTCTATTAATAGACATTTGGGAGATCATTGAGGCCAATGGGGAAAAAGAGCATGCATCAGGATAAAAACTAGAAGGAAACTGAGAAACCACTTTGTGAAGAATGCATTTGTCTTGCAAATTTAAAGGATTGCTTTCATTCAGCAGTTTGGAAACACAGTTTTTGTAGATCTGCGAAGGGACATTTGGGAGTGCATTGAGGACTGTGGTGAAAAAGAAAGTATCTTCAGATGAAAACAAGAAAGAAGCTTTCTGAGACACAGCATTGTGCTGTGTGCATTCATCTCACAGGGTTAAACCTTTCTTTTCTTTCAGCAGTTTGGAAACACTGTTTTTATCCATTCTGCAAATGGACGTTTTGGAGCTCTTTGAGACAATGGCAAAAAAGAAAATATCCCAGGATAACAACTAGAAGGAAGCTATCTGAGAAACCACTTTGTGATGTGTGCATTCATCTTACAGTGTTAAACCTTTTTTTTTTTAAATTTAGCCATTTGGAAACACTGTTTTTGTCTATTCCGTGAATGGACATTTGGGAACACATTTTGGCCAATGGCAAAAAAGTGAATATCCAAGGATAAAAACTACAAGGAAGCTATCTGAGAATCTGCTTTGTGATGTGTGCGTTCATTTCACAGAGTTAAACCGTTCTTTTCATTCAGCAGTTTTGAAACACTGCTTTTGTCCATTCTGCAAATGGACATTTGGGAGCTCATTGAGGCCAATGGCGAAAAAGAGACTATAACAGGATAAAAACTAGATGGAATCTATCTGAGAAACTGCCTTGTGATCTTTGTATTCACCTCATGGAGATAAACCTTTCTTTCCATGCAGCAGTTTGTAAACACTGTTGTAGAATCTGCAGAAGGATATTTATGAGTGCCCTGTGGCCTATGGTGAAAAATAAAATATCTTCAGATAAAAACTAGAGGGAAGCTTTCTGAGAAACTGCTTTGTGATGTGTGCATACATCTGATAGAGTTAAAACTGTCTTTTGATTCAGCAGTTTGGAAACACAGTTTTTGTCCAATTAGTGAGTGGAAATTTGGAACTCATTGAAGCCTATAGCAAAAAAGCAAATTTCTCAGGATAAGAGCTAGAAGGAAGCTACCTGAGAAACCACTTTGTAATGTGTGCATTCATCTCACATAGTTAAACATTTCTTTTGATTTAGCAGTTTGAAAACATAGTTTATGTCCATTCTGTGAATGGACATTTTGGAGGTCATTGAGGCCAAAGGCAAAATACTGAAGATTCCAGATAAAAATTGGGAGGAAGGTATCTGACAAACCACAATGTGTTGCATGCATTCATCTCACAGAGTTAAATATTTCTTTTCCTTCAGCAGTTTGGAAATATTGCTTTTGTCCATCCTGCAAAAGAATATTTTGGAGCTCCTGGAGACCAATGGTGAAAAAGCAAATATCCAAGGTTACAACCTCAAAGGAACCTAGCTGAGAAACTGCTTTGTGATGTGTACATTCATCTCGCAGTGATAAAATTTTCTTTTCTTTCACCAGTTTGGAAACACTGTTTTTATAGAATCTGAGAAGAGATATTTGGGAGCACATTGACATATATGAAAAAGTATATATCTTAAGAAAAAAACTAGAAAGTCTCTTTCTGAGAAACTGCTTTGTGATGCTTCCATTCATCTCACAGATATGAATATTTCTTTTGATTGAGAAGTTTGCAAACACTGTTTTTGTCCTTTCTTTGAATGGACATTTTGGAGGTCATTGATGCCAATTTCAAAAAAGCAAATATCCAAGGGTAAAAAATAGTAGGAAGCTATGTGAGAAATTGATCTGTGATGTATGTATTCATCTATAAGAGATAAACCTTTCTTTTGATTGAGCAGTTTGGAAACAGTTTTTGTAAAATCTGAGAAGAGATATTTGGGAGTACTTTGAGGACTATGGTGAAAAAGAAAATAACTTCAGATAAAATCTAGAAAGAAGCTTTGTGAAAAACTGCTTTGTGATGTGTGCATTCATCTCACACAGGTAAAAATTTCTTTTGATTCAGCACTTTGGAAAAACTGTTTTTGTCCATTTTGTGAATGGACATTTGGGGGTCATTTAGGCCAGTGATGAACAAAATAATATTTCAGGATAAAAACAAGAATGGAGCTGTCAAAGAAACCATATTGTGGTGTGTACATTCATGTCACAGAGTTAAACTTTTCTTTTGATTCAGCAGTTGGAAACACTGTTTTTGTAGAATGTGTGAAAGTATACTTGGGAGCACATTTAGGCCTATGGTGAAGTAGAAAATATCTTCAGATGAAAACTAGAAAGAAGCTTTGTGAGAAACTGCTTTGTGATGTGTGAATTCACCCCACAGAGTTAAAACTTTGTTTTGATTCAGCAGTTTGGAAACACTGTTTACGTCCACTCTCTGAATGGACATTTAGCAGCTCATTGAGGCCAATGGTAAAAAAGTGAATATCCCAGGATAAAAACTAGAAGGAAATGATCTGAGAAACTGCCTTGTGATGTATGCATTCACCTGGCAGAGATAAGCCTTTCTTTGCATTCAGCAATTAGGAAACACGGTTTTTGTAAAATCTGCAAAGGGATATTTGGGAGCACTTTAAGTACTATGGTGAAAAAGAAAATATATTCAGATAAAAACTAGAAAGAAGCTTTCTGAGAAACTGCTTTCTGATAGGTGCATTCATCTCACAGAGCTAAACAGTTCTTTTCATTCAGGAGTTTGGAAACCCTGTTTTTGTAGAAACTGCAAAAGTGTATTTGGGAGAACATAGCAGCCTATAGTGAAAAAGCAAGTATCTTCAGATAACAACTAAAAAGAAGCTACCTGAGACACCCCTTTGTGATGTGTGCATTCATCTCACCGAGTTAAACCTTTCTTTTCATTAAGTAGTTTGGAAACACTATTTTTGTCCATTCTGTGAATGGACGTTTAGGAACTCAGTAAGACCAATGGAGTAAAAGCAAATATCCCAGGATAAAAACCAGAAGGAAGGTCTCTGAGATACTGCTTTGTGATATGTGCTTTCACCTCGCAGATTTAAACCTTTATTTTCATTCAGCAGATTGGAAACACTGTTTTTGAAGAATCTGCAAAGGGATATTTGGGAGCACATTGCAGCCTATGGTGAAAAAGAAAGTATACTCAAATAAAAACTAGAAAGAAGCATGCTGAGAAACTGCTCTGTGTTGTGTCCATTCATCTCACACAGTTAAATGTTTCTTTTCATTCGACAGTTTGGAAACACCATTTGTGTCCATTCTGTGAATGGACATTTGGGAGCAGATTGAGACCAATGGCGAAAAGGCGAGTATCCCAGGAGAAAAACAAGAAGGAAACTATTAGAGAAAGTGCTTTGTGATGTGGGCTTCCATCTCATGGAGATAAACCTTTCTTTCATTCAACAGTTTGGAAACACTGTTTTTCTCAAATCTGAGAAGGAATAATTGGGAGTGCATTTAAGCCTATGGTGAAAAAGAAAATATGTTCAGGTTAAAGCCAGACGGAAAGTTTTTGTGAAACTGTTTTGTGATGTGTGCATTCATCTCACAGAGTGAACCCTTTATTTTGATTCAGCAGTTTAGAAACACTGTCTCTGTGAATTCTGTGAATAGACTTTTGAAAGCTCCTTGAGGCTGGCAAAAAAAGTTAATATCTCAGGATAAAAACTAGAAGGACACTATCTGAGAAACCACTTGTAAATTGTGCATTCATCTCACAGAATTAAATTTTTCTTTTCATTCAGCAGTTTGGAAACACTGTTGTTGTAGAATCTGCAAAGACATATTTGGGAACGCAATGAGGACTACAGTGGAAAAGAAATTAAATTCAGATAAAAACTACAAAGAATCTTTCTGAGGTACTGCTTTGTGATGTGTGCATTCATCCTGCAGAGTTAAACCTTTCTTTTTGTTCAGCAGATTGGAAACACTGTTTTTGTCCATTCTGCAAATGGACATTTGGCAGCTTATTGAGGCCAACGACAAAACAGAAAATATGCCACGATAAAAACTACATGAAGCTATTTGAGACTCGGCTTTCTTAGGTGTGCATTAATCTTGAAGAGTTAAACTTTTCTTTTGATTCAGCAGTTTGAAAACACTGCTTTTTTAAGAATCTCTGAAGGGCAATTTCGGAGTGCATTGAGGCCTATGGTGAAAAATAAAACACCTTCAGATAAAAACTAGATGGAAGCTTTCTGAGAAACTGATTTGTGATGTGTGCATTCGTTCCAGAGAGTTAAACCTTTCTTTTAATTCAGCAGTTTTCAAAAACTGTTTTTGTCCATTCTGTGAATAGACATTTGAAAACTCCTTGAGGCCAATGAAGAAAAAGTGAATATCTCAGGACAAAAACTAGAAGGAAGCTATCTGAAAAACCGCCTTGTTTGGTGTGCATTCAACTCTCAGAGTTATAACGTACTTTTCATTCAGCAGTTCTGAAACACTGTTTTTGTAGAATATCTGAAGGGTTGTTTCACAGTGCATTGAGACGGTGAAAAATAAAATACCTTCAGATAAAAACTAGGTGGAAGCTTTCTGAGAAACTGATTTGTGATGTGTGCATTCATTCCACAGAGTTAAACCTTTCTTTTGATATAGCAGTTTTCAAAAACTGTTTTTGTCCATTCTGTGAATAGACATTTGAAAACTCATTGAAGCCAATGGAGAGAAAGCAAATATCCCAGGATAAAAACTAGAAGGAAGCTATCTGAGAAATGCTTTGTGATGTGCACATTCATCTCACAGAGTTAAACCTGTCTTTTCATTCAGGAGTTTGGAAACACTGTTTTTGTCCATTCTGCCAATGGATATTTGACAGCTCATTGAGGCCAATAGTGAAAAAGTGCATATCCCAGGATAAAAACTAAAAGGAAGCTACCAGAGAAAATGCTTTGTGATGTGTCAATTCTTCCCACAGAGGTATAAGTTTCTTTTCATTCAGCAGTTTAGAAACACGGTTTTGTCCATTCTGAGAATGGACAGTTAGGAGCTCATTCAGGACAATGGTGAAAAAGTGAATATCCCAGGATAAAAATTAGAAAAACGGTATCTGAGGAACTGCTTTTTGATGTGTATTCATCTCACCAAGGTAAACCTTTCTCTTCATTCAGCAACTTGGAAACCCTGTTTTTGTAGTATCTGTGAAGGAATACTTGGGTGTCTTTTGAGGCCTATGTGGATAAAGAAAATATCTCCAAATAAAAACTAGAAAGAAGCTTTCTGAGAAACTGCTTTGTTGTTTGTGCATTCATCTATGAGATGTAAAACTTTCTTTTGATTCAGCTGTTTGTAAACACTGTTTTTGTACTTTCTGTGAATGGATATTTGGGATCTCATTGAGGTGAATTGCAAAAAAGTGAAAATACAAAGATAAAAACTAGAATGAAGCTATCTGAAAAACTGCTTTATGATATGTTAACATTTCTTTTCATTTAGCATTTGGAAACACAGTTTTTGAAGGATCTGTGATGGCATATTTGGGAGCTCTTGGATGCCAATGGTGAAAAAGAAAATACCTTTAGATAAAAACTAGAAAGAAACATTCTGAGAAAGTGCTTAGTGAAGTGTGCATTCATCTCACAGAGGTAAACATTTCTTTTGATTCAGCATTTTTTTTGTCCATTCTGTGAATGGACATATGGGAGCTCATTGAGGCCAATGGCAAAAAAAAATGAATATCACAGGACAAAAACTAGAGGGAACCTATCTGATAAACGGTTTTGTGATATGTGCATTCACCAAGCAGAGTTAAACCTTTCATTTCATTTAGCAGTTTGGAAAGTTTTTTCTTTGTTTTTTAGCATCTGCTAAGAAATATTTGGGAGTGCATTGATGCCTATGGTGAAAAAGTAAATATATTTAGATAAAAACTAGAAATAATCTTTCTGAGAAACTGCTTTGTGATGTGTACCTGCACCTCACTGAATTAAACCTTTCCTTGGATTCAGCAGTTTTGAAATAATGTTTTTGTCCATTTTGTGAATGTACACTTAGGAGCTCCTTGAGACCAATGGTGAAGTGAATATCCAAGGATAAAAACTAGAAGGAAGCTGTATGAGAAATCACTTTGTGATGGGTGCATTCATCACGCAGATTTAAAAGTTTATTTGATTCAGCAGTTTGGAAACACTGTTTTAGTCCTTTCTGTGAATGGACATTTGGGAGCTCTTTGAGGTCAATGATGAAAGTGCGATAATCCCAGGGCAAATCCAAAAGGAAGCTATATGAGGAACCAATTTGTGATGTGTGCCTTCATCTCAGAGAATTAAATCTTTCCTTTTATTGAGCAGTTTTAAAGCACTCTTTTGTTAGAATCTGTGATGGGATATTTGGGAGCACATTGTGGCCTATAGTGAAAAGGAAAATATCTTCAGATATAAAAACTAGAAAGAAACTTTCTGAGAAACTGCTTTGTGATGCTTTCATTCATCTCCAAGAGTTAAACCATTCTTTTGATTCAGCAGTTTGGAAACATAGTTTTTGTTCATTCTGTGAATGTACATTTGGGAGCTCATTGAGGGCAATAGTGAAAAACCGAATATCCCATTATGAAAACTAGAAGGAATTTATCTGAGAAACAGCATTGTGATGTGTGCATTCATCTCACAGAGGTAAACTTTCTGTTCATTCAGCAGTTTAGAAATACTGTTTTTGTAGAATCAGCTAAGAGGTATTTGGGAGAGCATTGTGGCCTATGGTGAAAAAGAAAATATCTTCAGAAAAAGACTAGAAGTAACTTTCTGAGATGTGATGTTTGCATTCATCTCAAAAAGTTGAACCATTCTTTTGATTCAGCAGTTTGGAAACACTGTTTTTGTCCATTCTGCGTGCGGTCATTTGGGAGCTCATTGAGTCCAACAGTGAGAAAACAAATATCCCAGGAAAAAATCAAGAAGGAAGCTACTGGAGAAGCCACTTTTCAGTATGCTCATTCATCTCACGGAGTTTAACATTGCTTTTGATTCAGCAGTTTGGTAACACTATTTTTGTACTTTCTGCAAATGGACATTTGAAAGGTCATTAAGCTAATGGTGAAAAAGAGACTATCCCAGGATGAAATCTAGAAGGAAGCTATCTGAGAAATTGCTTTGTGATGTGTGCATTCATTTCACAAAGTTAAATCTTTTTTTGATACAGCAGTTTTGAAACACTGTTTTTGTGCATTCTGCAAATGGACACTTGAGAGTTCCTTGAGGCCAATGGCAAAAAAGTGAGTATCCCAGGATAAAAATTAGAAGGAGGCTGTCTGAGAAACCACTTTGTGATGGGGGCATTCATTGCATAGATTTAAAACTTTCTTTGATTCAGCAGTTTGTAAACAGTTTTTTTCCTTTCTGTGAATGGATATTTGGGAGCTCATTGAGGTCATTGGCAAAAAAGCAAATATCCCAGGTTAAAAACTAGAATGAAGCTGTCTGAGAAATCACATTGTCATGTGTAAACCTTTCTTTTTATTCAGCAGTTTTAAACATGATTTTTATTCAATCTGCATAGGGATATTTTGGAGTGCATGGAGGCCAACGGTTGTAAAGGAAATATTTTCAGATAAAAACTAGACAGAAGCTTTCTGAGAAGCTACTTTTTGAAGTGTGCCATCATCTCACACAGTTAAACCTTTCTTTTGATTCAGCAGTTTGGAAACACAGTTTTTTTCTATTCTGTGAATGGACATTTCAGAGCTATTTGAGGCCAATGGCGAAAAAGTGAATATCCGAGGATAAAAACTAGAAGGAAGCAATCAGAGAACTCTCTTGGTGATGTGTGCATTCACCTCACAGAGTTAAACCATCATTTTCCCTCAGCAGTTTGGAGAAACTGTTTTTGCAGAAACTGTGAAGGAATATTTAGGAACACATAGAGGCCTAAGGTGAAACAGAAAATAACTTCAGATAAAAACTAGAAATGAGCTTTCTGAGAAACTGCTTTGTGACGTGTGCATTCATCTCACAGAGTTAAAGCTTTCTTTTGATTTGGCAGTTTGGAAACAGAGTTTTTGTCAATTCTGCGAATGGACATTTGGGAGATCATTGAAGCCAATGGTGAAAAGGGAATAGCCTGGGATAAAAACTAGAAGAAAGGTATCTGAGAAACTGCTTTGTGAACTGTGCATTAATCTCACATAGCTAAAATTCTCTTTTCATTGAGCAGTTTGGAAACACTGTTTTTGTAGAATTTGTGAATTGATATTTGGGGGTGCATTGAGGCCTATGGAGAAAAAGAAAATATTTTTGGAAAAAATGGGAAAGAACCTTTGTGAGAAATTGCTTTGTGATGTGGCCATTCATCTCACAGAGTTAAAACTTTCTTCACATTCAGCAGTTTGGAAACACTGTTTTTGTCCATTTTTTGAATGGACATTTTTGAGCTCATTTAGGCCAATTGCAAAAGAGTGAATATCCAAGGATAAAAACTAGAAGGAACCTATCTAAGAAACTTCTTTGTGATGTGTGCATTTGTCTTGCTGACTTAAACATTTCTTTCCATTCAGTGCTTTAGAAACACTGTTTTTGTAGAATCTGCAAAGGGATATTTGGGAGTGCATTGTGGCCTGTGGTGAAAAGGAAAATATCTTCAGATAAGAATCAGAAAAAAGCCTAGGCAATACCATTCAGGACATAGGCATGGGCAAGGACGTCATGTCTAAAACACCAAAAGCAATGGCAACAAAAGCCAAAATTGACAAATGGGATCTAATTAAACTAAAGAGCTCCTGCACAGCAAAAGAAACTACCATCAGAGTGAACAGGCAACCTACAAAATGGGAGAAAATTTTCGCAACCTACTCATCTGACATAGGGCTAATATCCAGAATCTACAATGAACTCAAACAAATTTACAAGAAAAAAACAAACAACCCCATTAAAAAGTGGGTGAAGGACATGAACAGACACTTCTCAAAAGAATACATTTATGCAGCCAAAAAACACATGAAAAAATGCTCATCATCACTGGCCATCAGAGAAATGCAAATCAAAACCACAATGAGATACCATATCACACCAGTTAGAATGGCAATCATTAAAAAGTCTGGGAACAACAGGTGCTGGAGAGGTTGTGGAGAAATAGGAACACTTTTACACTGTTGGTAGGACTGTAAACTAGTTCAACCATTGTGGAAGTCAGTGTGGCGATTCCTCAGGGATCTAGAACTAGAAATACCATTTGACCCAGCCATTCCATTACTGGGTATATACCCAAAGGACTATAAATCATGCTGCTATAAAGACACATGCACACATATGTTTATTGTGGCACTATTCACAATAGCAAAGACTTGGAACCAACCCAAATGTCCAACACTGATAGACTGGATTAAGAAAATGTGGCACATATACACCATGGAATACTATGCAGCCATAAAAAATGATGAGTTCATGTCCTTTGTAGGGACATGGATGAAATTGGAAATCATCATTCTCAGTAAACTATTCTCAAGAACAAAAAACCAAACGCCGCATATTCTCACTCATAGGTGGGAATTGAACAATGAGATCACATGGACACAGGAAGGGGAACATCACACTCTGGGGACTGTTGTGGGGTGGCGGGAGGGAGGAGGGATAGCATTGGGAGATATACCTAATGCTAAATGACAAGTTAGTGGGTGCAGTGCACCAGCATGGCACATGTATACATATGTAACTAACGTGCACAATGTGCACATGTACCCTAAAACTTAAAGTATAATAATAAAAGAAAAAAAAGAAAGAAAAAAAGGAATCAGAAAAAAGCTTTCTGAGGAACTGCATTGTGACGTGTGCATTCATCTCACTGAGTTAAACTCTTCTTTTGATTCAGCAGTTTGGAAACACTGTTTTGTCCATTCTGAGAATGGATAGTTGGGAGCTCCTTGGGGCCAAGGGCAAAAAAGAAAATATTCTAAGATAAAAACTATAAGGAAGCTATCTGAGAAACTGCTTTGTGATGTTTGCATTTGTCTCACAGAGATAAAACTTTGTTTTAATTGAGCAATTTGGAGAAACTGTTTTTGTCCAATCTGTGAATGGACATTTGAGAGCAAATTGAGGCCAGCAGTGAAAAAAAAAGAATATCACAGGATAAAACCTTGAATGGAGCTGAGAAACCATGTTGTGATGTGTGTATTCATTTTTCAGAAGTAAATGTTTCTTTTTATTCAGCTGTTTGGAAACAATGTTTTTGTAGAATCTGTGACGGTGTATTTTGGAGGGCATTGAGGCCTATTGAGAAAAGAAAATATCTTCAGATAAAAACTAGAAAGGAGCTTTCTTAGTAACTGTTTTGTGGTGTGTGCATTCATCTCACCAATTTAAACCTTTCTTTTGATTCAGCAGTTTTGAAACACTGTTTTTGCCCATTCTGCCAATGGTCAATTGGGAGCTCATTTAGGCCAATGGAAAAAAAGCAAATATCCAAGGATAAAAACTACAAGGAAACTATTTGTGAAACCGATTGGTGATGTGCACATTCATCTCACAAAGTTAAACCTTTTCTTCATTCAGCAGTTTGGAATCATACTTTTTGTCCATTCTGTGAATGGGAGATCATTGAGGCCAATAGCAAAAGAGTAAATTTCCAAAAATAAAAACTAGAAGGAAACTATGAGAAACTGCTTTGGAAAGTGTGCATTCTCTCACAGAGCTCACATTTTCTTTAGATTCAACAGTTTGGAAACTCTGTTTTTGTCCATTCTGGGAATGGATATTTGGGAGCTTATTGAAGCCAGTGGTGAAAAAGCAAATATTCCAGGATAAAAACTAGAAGGAAACTATCTGAGAAACAGCTTTGTGATATGTTCATTCATCTCAGAGAGTTAAACCTTTCTTTTCAATCAGCTCTTTGAAACACTATTTTTGTAGATCCTTCAAAGGGATATTTAGGAGCACATAGAGGCCTAAGGTGAAACAGAAAATAACTTCAGATAAAAACTAGAAATTAGCTTTCTGAGAAACTGCTTTGTGATGTGTGCATTCATCTCACAGACTTAAAACTTTGCTTTATTCAGCAGTTTTCGAACACTGTCTTTTCCTTTCTTCGAATGGACATTTGGGAGCTCATTGAGGCCAATGACAAAAAAGCGAATATCCTGGGATAAAAACTAGAAGGAAGCCATTTGAGAAACCAATTTGTGATATGTGCATTCTTCTCACAGTGTTAAACCTTTCTTTTGATTCAGCAGTTTTGAAACACTGTTTTGGTCCATTCTGTGAATTGATATTTGGTAGTTCATAGAGGCCAACGTGAAAAAGGGTATATACCAGGAAAAAAAATAGAAGGAAGCTATCTGAGAAACTGCACTGTGATGTGTGCATTTATCTCACAGAGTTAAACCTTTCTTTTCATTGAGCAGTTTGTAAACTCTATTTTTTTAGTATCTGCAAAGTGATATGTGGGAGTGCGTTGAGGACTTTGGTGAAAAAGAAAATATCTTCTAATAAAAACTAGAAAGAAGTTTTATGAGAAATGGCATTCTGATGTGTGCATTCATCTCAGAGAGGTAAACCTTTCTTTTGATTCAGCGCTTTGGAAACACTGTTTTTTTTCCCATTCTGTGAGTGGACATTTCAGAGCTCATTGAAACCAATGGCAAAAAAGGGAATACCCCAGGAAAAATACTAGAAGGAAGCTATCGGAGAAACTGCTCAATAAAATGTGCCATCACACTGCAGAGTTAAACCTTTTTTTAATTTAGTGGTTTGGAAACACTGTTTTTGTAGAATCTGCAAAAGGGTATTTGGGAGCATATTGAGGCCTTTGCTGAAAAAGGAAATATTTTCAGATTAAAACTAGAAAGAAGCTATGAGAAAATGCTTTGTGAGCTGTGCATTCATCTCACAGGGTTAAACCTTTCTTTAGATTCAGCAGTTTGGAAATACTGTTTTGTCCATACTATAAATGGACATTTGGGAGCTCATTGAGGCCAATGTTGAAAAAGTGAATATCCAAGGATAAAAACTAGAAGGAAGCAACCTGAGAAACCATTTTGTGATGTGTGCATTCACTTCACAGAGTTAAAACCTGCTTTTCATTCAGCAGTTTGGAAAGACTGTTTTTGTAGAATCTGTGAAGGGATATTTGGCAGTGCATTGAGGCCTATAGTGAAAAAGGAAATATTGTCACATAAAAACTAGAAAGAAGCTTTCTGAGAAACTGCTTTGTGATGTGTACCTTCGTGTCACAGAGTTAAACGTTTATTTTCGTTCAGCAGATTGGAAACAATGTTTATTTCCATTCTGCAAATGGCCATTTTGGAGCTCTTTGTGGCCAATGGCGAAAAAGCAAATATAGAAGGATATTCACTAGAAGGAAGCTGAGAAAACACTTTGTGATGGGTGCATTCATCTCTCATAATTAAATATTTCTGTTCATTGAGCAGTTTGGAAACACTGTTTTGTGGAATTAGCGAATTGATATTTGAGAGCACATTGAGGTCTATGGTGTTAAAGAAATTATCTTCTGAAAAAAATGGGAAAGAAGCTTTGTGAGAAACTGCTTTGTGATATGTCCATTCATCCCACAGATTTAAACCTTTCTTTAAATTCAGCAGTTTGAAAATACCGTTTTTGTCCATTTTGCAAATGGACATGTTGAGCTCATTGAGGCCAATTGCAAAAGAGCGAATATCCAAGGATAAAAACAAGAAGGAAGCTATATGGGAAACCTTTTTGTGTTGTGTGCATTTGTCTCACTGGCTTAAACATTTCTTTTCATTCAGCAGTAGGGAAACACTGTTTTTGTAGAATCTGTGAAGGGATATTTGGGAGCGCATTGAGGCATATGGTGAAAAGGAAAATATCTTCAGATAAATACTAGAAGGAAGCTATCTGAAAAACCATTTTGTGACGTTTACATTCATCTCACAGAGATCAAACTTTCTTTTAATTGAGCAGTTAGGAAACACTGTTTTTTCCAATGTGCAAATGGACATTTGGGTGATAACTGAGGCCAAAGGTGAAAAAGTGAACATCCCAGGATAAAATGTAGAAGGGAGCTATCTGAGAAGCCATCTTGTGGTGTGTGTATTCATCTTGCAAAGTTTGGGAGCTCATTGAGGCCAATAGCAAAAATGCAAATATCCAAAAAATAACAACTAGAAGGAAGCTATGAGAAACCACTTTTGAATGTGTGTGTTCATCTCACAGTGAAAACTTTCTTTTGATTCAGCAGTTTGAAATCTCGGTTTTTGTCCATTCTGTGAATGGACTTTTCGGAGCTTATTGAGGACTGTGGTGAAAAAGAAGATACCCAGGATAAAATCTAGAAGGAAGCTATCTGAGAAACCACTTTGTGATATGTTCATTCATTTCAGAGAGTTAAACATTTCTTTTCATTCAGCTGTTTGAAACACTGTTTTTGTAGAATCCTCAAAGGGATATATGGGAGTGCATTGAGGCCTACGGTGAAAAAGAAAATATCTTCAGATAAAAACTAGAAAGAAGCTTTCTTAGAAACTGCCTTGTGATGTGTGCATTCCTCCACAGAGTTAAAACTTTCCTCTGATTTAGCAGTTTGGAAACACTCTTTTTGTCCATTCTTTGAATGGACATATGGGAGCTCATTGAGACCAATGGCAAAAAAGCTAATATCTAAGGATAAAAACTAGAAGGAAGCTATGTGAGAAATCACTTTGTGATGTGTGAATTCATCTCACAGTGTGAAATCTTTCTTTTGATTCAGCAGTTTGGAAACACTGTTTTTGTCCATTCTGTGAATGGACTTTTGGGAGCTCATTGAGGCCAATGGTGAAAAAGTGAGTATCAAAGGATAAAAACTAGAAGCAAGCTACCTGAGAATCCACTTTGTGATGTGTGCATTCATCTCACAATGTGAAATCTTTCTTTTGATTCAGCAGTTTGGAAACACTGTTTTTGTCCATTCTGTGAGTGGACTTTTGGGAGCTCATTGAGGCCAAAGGTGAAAAAGTTAATATCAAAGGATAAAAACTAGAAGCAAATTACCTGAGAATCCACTTTGTGATGTGTGCATTTATCTTGCAGAGTAAAACTTTCTTTTGATTCAGCAGTTTGGAAACCCTGTTTTTATCCTTTCTGTGAATGGATACTTGTGAGCTCATTGAAGCCAATGATGAAAAAGTGAAAATTCCAGGATCAAAACTGCAATGAAGCTTTCTGGCAAACTGCTTTTTGATGTGTGCATTCATCCCACAGAGCGAAAACTTTCCTTTGATTCAGCAGTTTGGAAACAATCTTTTTCTCCATTCTGCAAATGGATATTTAAGAGCACATTGAGACTAATGGCAAAAATGCGAATATCCCAGGATAAAAACAAGAAGAAGCTATCTGAGAAACTGCTTTGTGATGTGTGCATAAATCTCACAGAGTTAAAACTTTCTTTTCATGCAGCAGTTTGGAAACACTGTTTTTGTAGAAGCTGCAAAGGGATATTTGGGAACACATTGAGACCTTTGGTGAAAAAGGAAATATCTTCACATAAAAACTAGAAAGAAGCTTTTGAGAAACAGCTTTGTGATGTGTGCATTCACTTCACAGTTTAAAAACTTCCTTTTCATCCAGCTGTTTGGAAACACTGTTATTGCAGTATCGACGAAGTTATATTTGGGAGCCCATTGAGGCCTATGGTGAAATAGAAAACATCTTCAGATAAAAACTAGAAAGAAGCATTCTGAGAAACTGCTTTGGTATTGGTGCATTCATCTCACAGATTTAAAGCATTCTTTTTATTTAGCAGTTTGGAAACACTGTTTTTGTAGAATCTCAGAAGGGATATTTTGGAGCGCCTTGAGGCCTATGGTGAGAAAGGATATATCTTCAGATAAAAACTAGAAAGAAGTTTTCTGAGAAACTGCTTTGTGATGGGTGCATTTAATTCACATAGTTAAAACGTTATTTTGACTCAGCAGTTTGTAAACTCTGTTTTTCTCTATTCTGCAATTGGATATTTGGGAGCTCATTGAGGCCAATAGTGAAAAAGTGAATATTCAAGGATAAAAACTAGAAGGAAACTATCTTAGACACCCCTTGTGATGTGTGGATTCATCTCGTAGAGGTAAACCTTTCTTTTCATTCAGCAGTTTGGAAAGGCTGCTTTGGTAGGATCCGTGAAGGAAAATTTGTGAGCATGTTAAGGCCTGTGGTGAAAAAGAAAATATCTTCAGATAAAAACTAGAATGAAACTTTTTGAGAAACTGCTTTGTGTTGTGTGCATTCATCTCGCAGAGATAAACATTTTCTTTTCATTCAGCCGTTTGGAAACATTGTTTTTGTCCATTTTGTGAGTGGACATTTGTGAGCTCACTGAGGCCAATGGCTAAAAAGTGATTATCCCAGGATTAAAACTAGAAAGAAGCTACCTGAGAAACTGCTTTGTGATGTGTCCATTCATCTCGCAGAGTTAAACATTTCTTTTCATTCAGCAGATTGGAAATGCCGTTTTTGTAGAATCTGCAAAGAGATATTTGGGAGCACATTGAGGCCTATGTTGAAAAAGAAAATATTGTCAGATAAAAACTACAAAGAAGCTATCTGAGAAATTGCTTTGTGATGTGTGCATTCATCTTGCAGAGTTAAACCTTTCTTTTGATTCAGCAGTTTGCAAACACTGTTTTTGTGCATTCTGTGAATGGACATTTTGGAGCTCATTGAGGCAAAATGTGAAAAAGTGAATATCCCTGGAAAAAACTACAAGGCACTATCTGAGAAACTGCTTTGTGATGTGTGTATTCAGCTCATGGAGTTAAATCTTACATTTCATTCAGCAGTTTGGAAACATTGTTTTTGTAGAACATGTGAAGGGTTATTTGCATACTGCATTGAGGCCTATGGTCCAAAAGAAAATATCTTCAGATAAAAACAAGAAAGAAGATTTCTGAGAAACTGCTTTGAGATGTGTGCATTCACCTCACAGAATTAAACTTTTCTTTCAATTCAACAGTTTGGGAACACTGTTTTTGTCCATTCTGAGTACGAATATCTGGGAGCTCATTGAGGCCAATGGCAAAAAATCAAATGTCCCAGGATAAAAACTAAAAGGAAGCTATCTGAGAAACCACCTTGTGATGTTTGCATTCATCTCACAGCGTTAAACCCTTCTTTTTATTCAGCAGTTTGGAAACACTTTTTTTGTAGAATCTGCAAAGGGATGTTTGGGAGCACATTGAGGCCTATGGTGTAAAATAAATTATCTTCAGGTAAAAAATAGAAAGAAGCTCTCTGAGAAACTGTTTGTGATGTGTGCATTTGTCTCACAGAGGTAAACGTTTCTTTTGATTCAGCAGTTTGGTAACACTGTTTATGTCCATTCCTGTGGATGGCCATACAGGAGCTCATTAAGGCCTATGGTGAAACAGTGAATATCTCAGGATAAAAACTAGTTGAGGCTATCTCAGAAATCGCTTTGTGACGTGTGCATTTAGTTTGAGGCATTAAATATTTTTTTTTCTTCAGCAGTTTGGTAACACGGTTTTTGTAGAATCTCCAGATGGACAATTGGGAGCACATTGAGGACAATGGTGAAAAAGAAAATATCCCCAGATAAAGACTACGAGGAAGTTATCTGAGAAACCCTTTTGTGATGTTTGCATTCATCTAGCAGAGTTTAATCTTTCTTTTGATTCAGCAGTTTGGAAACACTGTTTTTGTGCATTCAGCGAATGGACTTTTGGGAGCTCATTGAGGCAAAAGGTGAAAAAATGAATATTCCAGGAAACAACTACAAGGCACTATCTGAGAAACCTCTTTGTGATGTGTGTATTCAGCTCATGGAGTTAAATCATATATTTCATTCAGCAGCTTGGAAACGTTGTTTTTGTAGAATTTGTGAAGTTATACTTGCATAGCTCATTGAGGCCTATGGTGAAAAAGAAAATATCTTCAGATTAAAAACTAGAAAGAAGCTTTCTGAGAAACTGCTTTGAGATATGTGAATTCCTCTCACAGAGTCAAACTTTTCTTTTGATTCAACAGTTTGGAAACACTGTTTATATCCATTCTGTGGATGGCCATATGGGAGCTCACTAAGGCCTATGGTGAAAATTGAATATCCCAGGATAAAAACGAAAAGGAAGCCATCTCAGAAAGTGCTTTGTGATGTGTGCATTCAGCTTGAGGAGTTAAATATTTCTTTTCCTTCAGCAGTTTGGTAACACAGTTTTTGTAGAGTCTCAGAACGGACAACTTGGAGCTCATTGAGGCCAATAGCGAAAAGGGGAATGTTTCAGGATGAAAACTAGAAGTAAGCTATATTAGAAATCTTTTTGTGATGTGTTCATTCATCTCACAGAGGTAAACATTTCTTTTCATTAATCAGGTTGGAAAAACTGTTTTTGTAGCCTCTGCAAAGGTTTATTTGGGAGCACATTGAGGTCTATGTTCAAAAAGAAAATATCTGCAGATAAAAACTAGAAAGAAGCATTCTGAGAAACTGCTTTGTGATGTGTGCATTCACCTGACAGATTTAAACTTTTCCTTTGATTCAGCAGTTTGGAAACACTTTATTTGTCCAATCTGGGAATGCACATTTGGGAGCTCATTGAGGCCAATGGTGAAAGAGTGAATATCCCAAGATAAAAACTAGAAGGAAGCTATCTAAGGAACTGTTTTGTGATGTGTGCATTCATCTTGCAGTGTTAAACCTTTCTTTTGATTCAGCAGTTTAGAAACATGATTTTCGTTTATTCTGCAAATGGACCTTTGGGAGCTCATTGAGGCAAAAGGTGAAAAAGTGAATATCACCAAATAAAACAGAAAGAATGTATATGAGAAACAGCTTTGTGATGTGGACATTTATATCACAGAGTTAAAACTTACTTTTGATTCAGCAATTTGGATACAATATTTTTGTCCATTCTATGAAAAGACATTTGGGAGCTCTTTGACGCCAAAGTCGAAAAAGTGAATATCCCATGAAGAAAATCAGAAAGAAGCTATCTCAGGAACCTCTTTGTGATGTGTGCATTCGTCTTGCAGAGGTCTATCTTTCTTTTCGTTAAGAAGTTTGGAAAAACTGTTTTTGTATGATCTGGTATAAGATATTTGGGAGCAAATTGAGGCCTATGGTGAAAAAGAAACTATCATCAGATAAAAAGTCGAAAAATAGTTTCTGAGGAACTGCTTTGTGTTCTGTGCATTCATCTCACAAAGTTACACCTTTCTTTAGACCTAGCAGTTTGGAAAAACTGATTTTTTCCATTCTGGGAATGGACATTTCAGAGCTCATTCAGGCCAATGACAAAAAATCGAATATCCCAGAATGAAAAGTAGAAGGAAGCTATCTGAGAAACCTTTATGTGATATGTAAACTCATCTCACTGAGTTAAACCTTTCTTTTCATTCCGCAGTTTTGAAACACTATTTTTGTCCATTCTGTGAGTGGACATATGGTTGCTCATTGAGGCCAATGGTGAAAAAGGGAATATCACCAGATAAAAAGTAGAAGGGAGCTATATGAGAAACTGCTTTGTGATGTGTGCATTCATCTGTCTGAGTTAAACTTTTCTTTTCATTCAGCAGTTTTGAAACACTGGTTTTGTAGAATCTGCCAAGGGATATTTGGGAACACCTTGAGGCCTGTGATGAAAAAGAAAATATCTTCAGATAAAAACCAGAAAGAAGCTTTCTGAGAAACTTCTTTGCTGTGTGTGAATGCATCTTACATAGTTAAAACTTTCTTTTGATTGAGTAGTTTGGAAAAACTGTTTCCATCTGGATATTTGGGAGCTCATTTGGCCAATGGCAAAAAAGGAAAAAACCCAGAATAAAAACAAGAGGATGCTATCTGAGAAACTGCTTTGTGACGTGTGCATTCATCTTGCAGAGTTAAACCTTTTCTTTCATTCTGAAGTTTTGAAACTTTGCTTTTTTCCTTTCTGTGAATGGGCATTTAGGAGCTCTTTGAGGTTAATGGCAAAAAAAATGAATATCCCAGGAAGAAACCAGAAAGAAGCTGACAGAGAAAAATCTTTGTGATGCGTGCATTTATCTCGCAGAGATAAACCTTTCTTTTCATAAAGCAGTTTGGAAAAATTGTATTTGTGGAATCTGCAAAGAAATATTTGGGAGCACAGTGCAGCTTATGATGAAAAAGAAAATGTCTTCAGGTAAAAACTAGAAAGAAGCTTTCTGAAAAACTGCTTTGTGATTGTGCATTCATTGCACAGAGTTAAACCTGTTATTGATTTAGCAGTTTGGAAACACTGTTTTTGTCCACTCTATGAATGGATATTTGGGATCTCATTGAGACCAATGGGGAAAAAGCAAATATCCCAGGATAAAAACTGGAAGGAAGCTATCTGAGAAACCATTTTGTGATATGTGCATTCACCGCACAGAGTTAAAACTTTCTTTTGGTTCAGCAGTTTGGAAACACTGTTTTTGTCAATTCTGTCAGTGGACTTTTGGGAGCTCATTGAGGCCAATGGCAATAAGGTGAATATCATAGTATAAAAACAGAAGGAAGCTATCTGAGGAAGCTATAAAAGCAGAAGGAAGCTCTTTGTGATGTGTGCATTCAGCTTGAGGATGTAAATCTTATTTTTCTTTCAGCAGTTTGGAAACACTGTTTTTGTAGAATCTACAAATGGACATTTGGGAGTGAACTGAGGCCTATGGTTGAAAAGAAATCATCTTCAAATAGAAACTATAAAAAATCTTTTTGAAAAACTGCTTTGTGATGTTTGCATTCGTCTCACAGGGTTAAACCATTCTTTTGTTTCAGCAGCTTTTAAACACTGTTTTTGTCCATTCTGTGAATGGACATTTGGGAGCTATTTGAGGTCAAAGGTGAGAAGAAAATATCCCAGGATAAAAATTAGAAGGAAGCTCTATGAGAAACTGCTTTGTGATGTGTGCATTTGTCTCAGAGAGTTAAAATTTTCTTTTGATTCAGTGGTTTGGAAACACTGTTTTTGTCTTTTCTGCAAACGGCCTTTAGGGAGCTCATTGAGGCCAATGGCAAAAAAGCAAATAACCTAGAATAAAAACAGAAAGAAGCTATCTGTGAAACTGCTTTGTGATGTGTGCATTCATCTAGCAGAGTTAAACCTGTCCTTTCACTCAGCAGTTTTGAAACACTGTTTAATTTCCATTCTGCAAATGGACATGTGGGAGCTCACTGAGGCCAATTGCGAAGAAACGAATATCCCAGGAAGAAAATGAGAAGGAAGCTATCTGAGAAACCCATATGATGTGTGCATTCATCTTGTTGAGGTAAAACTTTCTTTTCATTAAGCAATTTGGAAAAATTGTTTTTGTAGCATCTGCAAATAAATATTTGGGAGCACATTGTGGCCTATGGTGAAAAAGAAAATATCTTCAGATAAAAATAGAAAGAAACTTTCTGAGAAATTACTTTGTGATGTGTGCATTCATCTCACAGACTTAAAACTTTCTTTTGATTCAGAAGTTTGGAAACACTGTTTTTTTCCATTCTGCAAATGGAAATTTGGGAGCTCATTGAGGCCAATGGCGAAAAAGAAAATATTTCAGGATGAAAACTAGAAGAAAGCTATATTAGAAAACTTTTTATGATGTGTTCATTCATCTCAAAGAGGTAAACCTTCCTTTTCATTAAGCAGTTTGGAAAAACTCTTTTTTTAGCATCTGTGAAGGGTTATTTCAGAGTGCATTGAGGCCTATGTTCAAATAGAAAATATCTGTAGATAAAAACTAGAAAAAATGCTTTCTGAGAAACTGCTCTGTGATGTGTGCATTCATCTCACAGAGTTAAACTTTATTTTGATTCAGCAGTTTGGAAACACTTTATTTGTCCATTCTGGAAATGCACATTTCAGAGCTCTTTGAGGACAATGGTGAAAAATTGAATGTCACAGGATATAAACTCAGAGGAAACTATCTGAGAAACTGCTTTGTTATGTGCACATTCATCTAGCAAGTGAAACCTTTCTTTACATTCAGCAGCTTGGAAACACTGTTTCTGTAGAATCTGTGAAGGGATATTTGGGAGTGCTTTGAGGCCTATTTTGAAAAAGAAAATATCTTCAGATAAAAATGAGAAAGTAGCTTTCTGAGAAACTGCTTTGTGATGTGTGCATTCATCTCAGACATTTAAACCTTTCTTTGAATTCAAAAGTTTAGAAACACTGCTTTTGTCCATTCTCTGAATGGACATTTGGGAGCTCTTTGAGGCCAATGGCAAAAAATCAAATTGTCCCAGGATAAAAACTAAGAGGAAACTATCTGAGAAACTCCTTTGTGATGATGTGTTTCATCTCACAGAGTTAAACCTTTCTTTTGATTCAGCAGTTTGGAAACGCTTTATTTGTCCATTCTTGGAATGCACATTTGGGAGCTCATTGAGGCAAAAGGCGAAAAATTGAATGTCACAGGATATAAACTCAGAGGAAGCTATCTGAGAAACTGCCTTGTGATGTGCACATTCATCTCGCAGAGTTAAAACTTTCTTTTCATTCAGCAGTTTGGAAACACTCTTTTTGTAGAATCTGTGAAGGTATATTTGGGAGCACATTGAGACCTATGATGAAAAAGAAAATATCTTCAGATAAGAAATAGAAGCTTTCTGATAAACTGCTTTGTGTTGTATGAATTCACCTCACAAAGTTACACCTTTCTTTTAATTCAGCTGTTTGGAAACACTGTATTTTTTATTCTTCGACTGGATATTTGGGAGACCTTTAAGCCCAATGATGAAAAATTGAATGTCCTAGGATAAAAACTAAGAGGAATCTATCTGAGAAACTGCTTTGTGATGTGTGTTTTCATCTCGCTGAGTTAAAACTTTGTTTTGATTCAACAGTTTGGAAACACTTTATTTGTCCATTCTTGGAATGCACATTTGGGAGCTCACTGAGGCAAATGGCAAAAAATTGAATATCACAGGATATAAACTCAGAGGAAGCTATCTGAGAAACTGCCTTGTGATGTGCTCATTCATCTCACAGAGTTAAACCTTTCTTTTCATTCAGCAGTTTGGAAACACTCTTTTTGTAGAATCTGTGAAGGTATATTTGGGAGCACATTGAGGCCTATGATGGAAAAGAAAATACCTTCAGATGAAAAATAGAAAGAAGCTTTCTGAGAAACTGCTTTATGTTGTATGCATTCATCTCACAAAGTTACACCTTTCTTTTAATTCAGCTGTTTGGAAACACTGTTTTTGTTTATTTTGCAATTGGACATTTCGGAGTCCTTTAAGCCCAATGATGAAAAATTCAATGTCCCAGGATGAAAAGAAGAAGGAAGCTATCTGAGAAAACTTTTTGTGAAATGTGCATTCAACTCGCAGAGTTAAAACTTTCTTTTCATTTAGCAGCTTGGAAAAACTGTTTTTGTCCATTCTGTGGTGGACATATAGGAGCTCATTGAGGCAAATGGCAAAAAAGCAAATATCACCGGATAAAAACTAGAAGGAAACTATCTGAGATACCGCTCTGTTATGTGTGCATTCATATCACATAGTTAATCCTTTTTTTTGTTCAGTAGTTTGGAAACACTGTTTTTGTCTGGACATTTGGGAGCTCATTGAGGCCAATGGTGAAAAAGTGAATATGCCAGGATAAAAACTAGATGGAAGCTATCTCAGAAACATTTTTCTGATGTGTGTATTCATCTCACAGAGTTAAAAGTTTCTTTTGCTTCAACAGTTTGGAAACACTGTTTATGTAGAATATGTGAAGGGATCTTCAGATAAAAACCAGAAAGAAGCTTTCTGAGAAAGTGCTTTGTGATGTCTGCATTCACCTTACAGAATTAAACCTTTCTTTTGATTCAACAGTTTAGAAACACTGTTTTTGTCCATTCTCTGAACGGACATTTTGGTGTTCATTAAGGACAATGGCAAAAAATGGAATGTCCCAGGATAAACACTAAGAGGAATCTATCTGAGAAACCAGAATCTGCAAAGGGATATTTGGGTGCACATTGAGAACTGGGGTGAAAATATAATACCTTCAGATAAAAACTAGAAAGAAGCTTTCTGAGAAACTTCTTTGTGATATGTGCATTCATCTCATAGAGTTAAATGTTTCTTTTGAGTCAGAAGTTTGGAAACGCTGTTTTTGTCCATGCTGTGAATGAACATTTTGGTGTTCATTAAGGACAATGGCAAAAAATGGAATGCCCCAGGATAAACACTAAGAGGAATCTGTCTGAGAAACCACTTTGTGATGTGTGCATTCATCTCACAGAGTTAAATCTTTCTATTCATTCTGCAGTTCCAAAACACTTTTTTTGTAGAATCTATGAATGGACATTAGGAAGGGAATTGAGGCTTATGGTTGAAAAGAAAATATCTTCAGATGGAAACAAAAAAAATCTTTTTGAAAAACTGCTTTGTGATGTGTGCATTCATCTCTCAGGGTTAAACCATTCTTTTGATTTAGTGTTTTTAAACTTTGTTTTTGCCCATTATGCAAATGGACATTTGGGAGTTCATTGAGGTCAATGGCAAAGAAGAGAATATCCCAGGATAAAAACTAGAAGGAAGCACTATGAGAAACCTCTTTCTGATGTGTGCATTTGTCTCAGAGAGTTAAAACTTTCTTGTGATTCAGCAGTTTGGAAACACTGTTTTTGTCTTTTCTGCAAATGGACATTTTGCTGCTCTTTCAAGCCAATAGTGAAAAAGGGAATGTCCCAGGATAAAAACTTAGAGGAAGCTATCTGAGAAAACAGTTTGGGTGCTTGCATTCGTCTCACAGACTTAAATCTTTCTTTTCATTCAGCAGTTTGGAAACACTGTTTTTGTCAATTTTTCAAATGGACTTAAGGGAGCTCATGGGGGCCAATTGCAAAAAAAAGCAAATAACCCAGAACAAAAACAGAAGGAAGCACTCTGTGAAGCTGCTTTGTGATGTGTGCATTCATCTAGCAGAGTTAAATCTTTCCTTTCCTTCAACAGTTTTGAAAACTGCTTTTTTCTTCCATTCTGAATGGACATTTGAGAACTCATTGAGGCCAATGTCGAAAAAGGGACTATCCCAGGAAGAAGATGAGACTGAACTTACTTGAGAAACCTCTTTGTGATGTATGCATTCATCTCACTGAGGTAAACCTTTCTTTTCATTAAGCAATTTGGAAAAACTCTTTTTGTAGCATCTGCAAAGAAATATTCGGGAGCACATTGAGGCCTATGATTAAAAACAAAATACCTTCATATAAAAATTAGAAAGAGTCTTTCTGAGAAACTGCTTTGTGACATATGCACTCATCTCACAGAGTTAAAAGTTTCTTTTGATTCTGCAATTTGGAAACTATTTTTGTCCATTCTGTGAATGGACATTTGGGAGCTCAGTGAGGCCAATGGCAAGAAATCGAACATCCCAGGATGAATACTATGTGGAAGCTCTCTGAGAAACTGCTTTGTAATGTATGCATTAATCTCACAGAGTTAAACATTTCCTTTCATTCAGCAGTTTTGAGACACTGTTTTTTTTCATCCTGCAAATGGACATTTGGGAGCTCATTGAGGTCAATGACAAAAAAGCAAACATACAAGGATAAAAACTACAAGGAAGCTATCTGAGAAACTGCTTTTGATGTGTGCACTCATTTTGCCAAGTTAAAACTCTCTTTTTATTCAGCAGTTTGCAAAAACTGTTTTTGAAGAATCTGCAAAGGGATATTTGGGATCTCATTGAGGCCTATGGTGAAAAAGGAAATATCTTCAGATAAATCTAGAAAGAAGCTTTCTGAGAGACTGCTTTGTGATGTGTGCATTAATCTCACGAGTTAAATATTTGTGTTCATTCCGCTGTTTAGAAACACTGTTTTTGTCCATTCTGTGAATGGACATTTTGGAGCTCTTTGATGCCAATGGCAAAAAAGGGGATATCCCAGAATAAAAACAGAAGGAAACTGTCTTAGAAACCACTTTGTGATGTGTGCATTCATCTAACAGATTTAAACTTTCTTTTGATTCATCAATTTGGAAACACTGCTTTTGTCCATTCTGCAAAAGGGCATTTGGGACCTCGCTGATGCCAATGGTGAAATACCAAATATTCCAGAATGAAAACAGAAGGAAGCTATCTGGTAAACCTGTTTGTGATGTGTGCATTCAGCTCGAGGAGTTATATCTTTCTTTTTATTCAGCAGTTTGGAAAAGCTGTTTTCGTAGAATCTGAGAATGGACAGTTGGGAGCGCATTGAGGCCTATAGTGAAAAAGAAAATATTTTCAGATAAAAACTAGAAAGAGGATTTCTGAGAAACTGCTTTGTGAAGCAAGCATTCACCTCACTGAGATAAACCTTTTTTTGATTCATCAGTTTGAAAAACACTGTTTTTGTCCACTCTGTGAATGGACATTTGAGAGCTTATTGAGGCCAATGGTGAAAAAGCGAACATCCCAGCATAAACAATAAGTGGAATCTATCTGAGAAACCGTTTTGTGATGTGTGCTTTCATCTCAGAGAGACAAAAACCTTCTCTTGATTCAGCAGTTTGGAAACACTGTTTTTTCCATTCTACACATCTACATTTGGAAGCTCATTGAGGCCGAAGGTGAAAAAGAGGATATCCCACGATACAAAGAGACGGAAGCAATCTAAGAAACCACTTTGTGATGTGTTCATTCACCTCGAGGAGTAAAATCTTTCTTTTCATTCAGCTGTTTGGAAACACTGATTTCTAAAATCTGCAAATGGAAATTTGTGGTGCATTGAGGCCTAAGGTAGATATCATCAGATAAAAACTAGAAAGACGTTTTCTGAGAAACTGCTTTGTGATGTGTGCTTTCATCTCACAGAGTTAAACCTTTCTTTTGTTTCAGAAGTTAGGAAACACTGTTTTAGTCCATTCTGTGAATGGATATTTGGGAGCTAATCAAGGCCAATGACAAAAAAGTGAATATCCCATGACAAAAACTAGAAAGAAGCAATCTGAGAAAATGCTTTGTGATGTGGGCATTCATCTCTTAGAATTAAACCTTCCTTTTCATTCAGCAGTTTGTAAACACTTTTTCTGTTCATTCGATGAATGGACATTTTGAAGCTCATTGTGGCCAATGGCCAAAAATCAAATGTACAAGGATGAAAACTGAGAGGAAGCTATCTGAGAAACATCTATGTCATGTGAGCATTCATCTCAAGGAATTAAATCTTTCTTTTCATTCAGCAGTTTGGAAACCATTTTTTTGTAGATCTGCAAATGGACATTTGGGAGCTCACTGAGGCCAAGGGTGAAAAATTGAATGTCCCAAGATAAAAACTAAGAGGAAGCTATCTGAGAAATATCTTTGTGATGTGTGAATTCATCTCACAGTTATGCCTTTCTTTTCCTTCAACAGTTTGCAAGCAATATTTTTTTAAAAATCTGTGAATGGATATTGGGGAGTGCATTGAAACCTATGATGAAAAAGAAAATATCTTCAGATGAAAACTAGAAATAAGCTATCTGAGAAACAGCTTGTGATGTATGCATTCATCTCAGAGAGTTAAATCTTTATGTTGATTCAGCAGTTTGGAAACACTGTTTTTGTCCATTCTGTGATTGGACATTTTGGAGCTCATTGAGGCCAATGGGGAAAAGCAAATGTAGCATGATAAAACCTAGAAGGAAATTATCTTAAAAAAACTGCTTAGTGATGTGTGTATTCATCTTGCAGAGTTACTCCTTTCTTTCATCGATCAGTTTGGAAACACCATTTTTGTAGAATCTATGAGGGAATATTTGGAGCACAATGAGGCCTATGGTGAAAAATAAAATATCTTCAGTTAAAAACTAGAAAGAAGCTTTCTGAGAAACTGCTTTGTGGTGTTTGCATTCATCTCACAGATGAAAACTTTCTTTTAATTCAGGAGTTTGGAAACAATGTTTTTTTCCATCCTGAAAATGGACATTTGGGAGCTGTTTGAGGTCAATCAGGAAAAAGTGAATATCCCAGGATAAAAACTGGAAAGAAGCTATCTGAGAAACTGCTTTGTGATGTGTGCATTCATCTCACACAGTTAAACCTTTATTTTGATTCAGCAGCTTGGAAACACTGTTTTTGTCCATTCTGCAAATGGATATTTGAGATCTAATTTAGGCCAATGAGGAAAAGCGAATATCCCAGGATAAAAAACAGAAGGAAACTATCTGGGGAACTACTTTGTGATGGGAGCATTCATCTCCCAGAGTTAAAACTATTTTTCATTCAGCAGTTTGAAAATACTGTTTTTGTAGAAACTGTGAAGGGATATTTGGGAGTGCATTGAGGCCTATGGTGATAAACAAAATATCTTCAAATAAAAACTAGAAAGAAGCTCTCTGAGAAACTGCTTTGTGATGTGTGCATTTTTCTCACACAGTTAAAACTTTCTTTTTATTAAGCATTTTGGAAACATTGTTTTTGTCCATTCTGAGAATGGACATTTTGAAGCTCATTGAAGCCAATGGCAAAAAAACAAGTGTCCCAGGAAAAAAACTAAGTGGAAGCTATCTCAGCAGCCACTGTGTTATGTTTGTATTCAACTCACAGAATTAAAACTTTCTTTTCATTCAGCTCTTGTGGAACACTGTTTTTGTCCAATCTGCAAGTGAACATTTGGGTGCTCATTGAGGCCAGTGGAGAAAAACAGAATATCCCAATATAAAAACTAGAGGGAAGCTATCTGAGAAACCATTCTGTGATGTGTGCATTGATCTCACAGAATAAATTTTACTTTTGATTCAGCAGTTTGGAAACACTGTATTTGTCCATTCTGTGAATGGACATTTTGGAGCTCATTGAAGCCAAAGGCAAAAAAGCAATTATCCCAGGATAAATACTGGAAGGAAATTATTTGAGAAACAGATTTGTGATGTTTGCATTAAGGTTGAGGAGTTTAATCTTTCTTTTTATTCTGCTTTTCAACTGTGCTTTTGGAAGAACTGTTTTGTAGAATATGCAAATGGACATTTGGAAGCTCAATGAGGCATATGTACAAAAAGAAAATAACTTCAGATAAAAACTAGGAAGAATCTTTCTTAGAAACTGTTTTGTGGTGTGTCATCCATCTCACAGAGTTAAACCTTTGTTTGATTCAGCATTTTAAAACAATTTTTTCGTCCATTCTCCGAATGGACATTTGGTAGATAATGGAGGCCAAAGGCAAAAAAACGAATATCCCATTACAAAAACTATCAAGAAGCTCTCTAAGAAACTGCTTTCTGATGAGTGCACTCATCTCAAAGAGCTAAAACTTTCTTCTTTCAGCAGTTTGGAACCACTGTTTTGTAGAATCTGTGAAGGGATATTTGGGAGTACATTGAGGCCTATGGTGAAAAAGAAAATATCTTCAGATAAAAACTAGAAAAAAGATGTCTGAGAAACTGCTTTGTGATGTGTGCATTGATCTCACATAGCTAAACCTTTCTTTTGATTCAGCAGTTTGGAAACAATGTTTTTGTTCATTCTGTGAATGGACATTTGGGAGCGCAATGAAGCCAATGGCCAAAAATCGAATGTCCCTGGATAAACATTAGGAGGAAGCTATCTGGGAAACTGCTTTGGGATGTGTGCATTCAGCTTGCAGAGTTAAACCTTTCTTTTCATTCAGCAGTTTGGAAACACTGTTTTTCTCCATTCTGTGAATGAACAATTGGAGTGCATTTAGGCCAATGGAGAAAAAGTGAACATCCCAGGATAAAAACTAGAAAGAAGTTATCTGAGAAACTGCTTAATGATGTGTGCATTCATCTCGCAGAGTTAAACTTTTCTTTTCTTTCAGCAGTTTGAGAACACCATTGTTGTCCATTCTGCCAATGGACTTTAGGGAGCTCGTTGAGGCCAAAGGCAAAAAACGTGCATATGCCGGGATAAAAACTAGGAGGAAGCTATCTGAGAAACTGCTCTGTGATGTCTGCATTTATCTCACAGAGTTAAACCTTTCTTTTCATTCAGCAGTTTGGAAACAATTTTTTAATAGAATCTGCCAACAGATATTAGGTAGTGCATTGAGGCATATGGTGAAAGAGACAATATCTTCAGATAAAAACCAGAAATAATTTTCTGAGAAACTGCTTTGTGATATGTGCATTCATTTCACAGAAATAAACCTTTCTTTTGATTCAGTAATTTGGAAACACTGTTTTTGTCTATTCTACAAATGCACATTTTGGAGATCTTTGAGGCCAGTTGTGAAAAACTGGATATCCCCAATAAAAACTAGAAGGAAGCTATCTGTGAAACCAATTTGTGATGTGTGCATTCAGCTTGCAGAGTTAAAGCATTCTTTTCATTCAGCATTTTGGAAGCACTCTTTTTGTAGAACCTGTGGAAGGATATTTGGGAGCATAATGAGGTTATGGTGAAAAAGAAAATATCTTCAAATTGAAAACTAACAGAAGCTTTCTGAGATACTGTTTTGTGATGTGTGCATTCATCTCAAAGAGTTAAACCTTTATTTTGTTTCAGCAGTTTGGAAATACTGTTTTTGCCCATTCTGCGAATGGACATTTGGGATCTCATTGAGGCCAATGGCGAAAAAGTGAATATCCCAGGATAAAAACTAGAAGGAAGCTATCTGAGAAACCTCTTTGTGATGTGTGCATTCATCTTGCAGGGTTAAAACTTCTTTTCATTTAGCAGTTCAGAAACACTTTTTTTGTAGAATATGAAAAGGGATATTTGGAAGTGTGTTCAGGACCATGGTGAAAAAGGAAATATCCTCAGATAAAAACTAGAAAGAAGCTTTCTGAGAAACTGCTTTGTCATGTGTACATTCCTCTGGCACAGTTAAACCTCTGTTTTCATACAGCAGTGTAAACACTGTCTTTTTCAATTCTGCAAATTGACATTTGTGAGCTCATTGAGGCCCATGAGGAAAATGCGAATATCCCTGGATAAAAACTAGAAGGAAGCTATCTGAGGATCTGCTTTGTGATGGGTGCATTCATCTCACAGAGTTAAAACTTTCTTTCAATTCAACAGTTTTGAATCAATGTTTTTGTCTATTCTGTCAATGGACATTTTGAGCTTATTGAGGACAATGGTGAAAAAGTAAACGTCCCAGGATAAAAACTAGTAGGAAGGTATCAGAGAAACCACTTTGTGATGTGGGCAATCATCTCTCATAGACAAAGTTTTCTTTGAATTCAACTGTTTGGAAACACTGTTTTGTAGAATCTGTCAAGTGATATTTAGGAGTGCATTGATGTCTATGGTGAAAAATAAAGTAACTTCAGATAAAACCTAGAAGGAATCTATCTGAGAAACCACTTTGTAATGTGTGCATTCATCTCGTAGAGTTAAACTTTCCTTTTTAGCCAGAAGTTTGAAAACACTCTTTTTGTAAAATCTGCAAAGGGATAATTCGGAGTGCATTGAGGCCTTTGGTGAAAAATAAAATATCTCGAGATAAAAAAAAGAAAGAAGCTTTCTGAGAAAGTGCTTTGTGATGTTTGCATTCGTCTCACAAGGTTAAACTTTTCTTCTGATTCAGGTGTTTGGAAACTCTGTTTTTGTCCATTCTGCAAAAGTACATTTGGGAGCTCACTGAGGCCAAAAGGGAAAAAGCAAATATCCCAGGATAAAAACTAGAAGGAAGCTATCTGAGAAACTGCTTTGTGATGTGAGCCTTTGCCTCACAGAGATAAACTTTTCTTTTCATTTAGCAGTTTGGAAACACTTTTTTTAAGAATCTGTGAAGGGAAATTTGGGAGCGTGTTAAGGCTTATGGTGAAAAAGGAAATATCTTTAGATAAAAACTAGAAAGAAGGTTTCTGAGAAGCTGCGTTATGATGTGTGCTTTCATCTCACAGAGCTAAACCTTTCTTTTGATTCTGCATTTTTGAAACACTGTTTTGGTCCATTCTGCGAAAGGACATTTAGGATCTCATTGATGCCAATGGCAAAAAGTGAATATCCCACGATAAAAACTAGAAGTAATCTATCTGAGAAACCGCTTTGTGATGTGTGCGTTCATCTAACAGAGTTAACACTTTCTTTTCATACAGCAGTTTGTAAACACTATTTTTGTCCATTCTGTGAATGGACATTTAGGAGCTCAATGAAGACAAGGCAAAAAAGTGAATATCCCAGGACAAAAACTAGAAGGAAGCTATCTGACAAACAACTTTGTGACGCATGCATTCATCTCATAGAGATAAGCCTTTCTTTACATTCAGCAGTTCGGAAACACTGTTTTTGTAGGATCTGTGAAGGGATATTTGGGAGCATATTGAAGCCTATGGTGAAAAAGAAAATATCTTCAGATAAAAAGTAGAAAGAAGCTTTCTGAGAAACAGTCTTATGATGTGTGTATTCATCTCACAGAGTTAAACATTTATTTTCATTCAGCAGTTTGGAAAAACTGTTTTGTCCATTCTGCAAAAGCACATTTTTGAGCTCATCTAGGCCAATGGTGAAAAAGCGAATATCCCAGGATAAAAACTAGAAGAAAGATATCTGAGAAACCGCTTTGTGATGTGTTCACTCATCTCATAGAGTTAAACCTTTCTTTTCATTCAGCAAGTTGGAGACACTGTTTCTATCCATTATGCAAATGGAGATTTGGGAGCTCATTTAGGCCAAAGGCAAAAAGCTGTTATACCAGGATAAAAACTTGAAGGAATCTATCTGAGAAACTGCCTTGTGATATTTGCATTCATCTCACAGAGTTAAATTTTTTTTTTGATTCAGCAGTTTGGAAACACTGTTTTTGTCCATTCTATGAATGGACATTTGGGAGCTCATTGAGGCCAATGGTGAAAAAGCAAATATCCCAGTATAAAATCTAGAAGGAAGCTATCTGAGAAACTGCCTTGGGATGTGTGCATTCTTTTGGCAGATTTAAATCCTTATTTTGATTCAGCAGTTTGGAAAAACTGCTTTTGTCCTTTCTGTGCATGGACATTTGGGACCTCATTCAGGCCAATGGCAAAAAAGCAAATATCGCAGGACAAAAACTAGAATGAAGCTGTGTGAGAAACCACTTTGTGCTTTATGATGTGTGCATTCACCTCGCAGAGTGAAACCCTCCTTTTCATTCAGAAGTTTGGAAACACTGTTTTTGTAGAATCTCTCAATTGATATTTGTGAGTGCATTGAGGCCTATGATGAAAACAAAATATCTTCAGATAAAAACTAGAAAGAAGATTTCTGAGAAACTACTTTGTGATGTGTGCATTCATCTCACAGAGTTTAACCTTTCTTTTTATTAAGTAGTTTGGAAACACTGTTTTTGTCCATTCTGCGAATGGACGTTTTGGAGCTCACCCAAGCCAATTGCAAAAAATCCATTATCCCATGATAAAAACTAGAAGGAATCTACCTGAGATACCACTTAGTGACGTGTGCATTCATCTCACAGAGTTAAACCTCACTTTTCATTCAGCAGGTTGGAAATACTGTTTTTCTCCACTCTATGTATGCATATTTTGGAGCTCATTGAGGTCAAATGCAAAATAGTGAGCATACCTGGATAAAAACTAAAAGGAATCTATCTGAGAAATGGCCTTGTGATGTGTGTATTCATCTCACAGAGTTAAAAAATTTTTTTGACTCAACAGTTTGGAAACACTGTTTTTGTCCATTCTGTGTATGCATATTTGTTAGCTCATTGAGGCCAAAGGTGAAAAAGAGATCATCTCAAGATAAAAGCTGGAAGAAATTTTCTGAGAAACCACTTTCCAATGTGCATTCATCTCACAGAGTGAAACATTTATATTCATTCAGCAGTTTGGAAAAACTGTTTTGTCCATTCTGCGAATGGACATTTGGGAGCTCATTGAGGCCAATGGTGAAAAAACGAATATCCCAGGATAAAACTAGAAGGAAGCTTTGTGAGAAACCACTTTTGGATGTCTGCATACCTCTCAGAGTGAAACCTTTCTTTTGATTCAGCAGTTTGGAAATATTATTTTTGTTCATTCTGTGAATGGACATTTGGGAGCTCTTTGAAGCCAATGTCAAAAAAGTGAGTATTCCGGGATAAAACTAGAAGGAAGTTATCTGAGAAATGACTTTTTGATGTGTACATTTATCTCACAGAGTTAAACAGGCTTTTCATTCACAGTTTGGAAACACTGTTTTTGTAGAGTCTGTGAAGAGATATTTGGGAGTGCACTGAGGCCTGTGTTGGAAAAGAAAATATCTTCAGATAAAAACTGGAAAGAAGCTTTCTTAGAAACTGCTTTGTGATGTGTGCCTTCATCTCACAGAGTTAAAAATTTCATTTGATTCTGAAATTTGGAAACACTATTTTTGTCCATTCTGTGAATAGACATTTCATAGCTCATTGAGGCCAATGGCAAAAAAGCAAATATTCTAGGATGAAAACTAGAAGGAAGCTATCTGATAAAGTGATTTGTGATGTGTGCATTCATCTCTCAGAGGTAAACATTTCTTTTCATATAACAGTTTGGAAACACATTTTTGTCCATTCTGCAAATGGACATATGGGGGCTCATTGAGGCCAATTGCAAAAAACAAAAATCCCATGATGAAAACTAGAAAGAAGCTACCTGAGAAATCGTTTTGTGATGTGTGCATTAATCACTCATAATTAAACCTTTCTTTTTGTTCAGCAGTTTGGAAACACTGTTTTTGTAGAATCTGTGAAGCAATAATTGGGTAATGTTGTGGCCTATGCTTAAGAAGAAAATATCTTTAGATAAAAAATAGAAAGAAGCTTTCTGAGAAACTGCGTTGTGATGTGTGCCTTCATCTCACAGAGTTAAATTTTTTTTTGATTCAGCAGTTTGTAAACACTGCTTTTGTCCTTTCTGTGAATGGATATTTGGGAGCTCATCTAGGCCAGTGGTGAGAAAGCGAATATCCCAGGATAAAAACTAGAAGGAAGCTACGTGAGAAACAGCTTAGTGATATGTGCATTCATCTCATAGAGTTAAATCTTTCTTTTCATTCAGCTGTTTGGAAAGACGGATTTGTCAATTCTGTGAAAGGAGATTTGGGAGCCCGTTGACACTAAAGATGAAAAAGCTAATATACCAGGATAAAAACTAGAAGGAATTTATCTGAGAAACTGCCTTGTGATATGTGCATTCATCTTGCAGGTTTCATTTTTTTTTGATTCGGCACTGTGGAAATGCTGTTTTTGTAGAATCTGAGAAGCAATCTTTTGGATCAGATTGAGGCTAATGATGAAAAAGGAAATATCTTCAGATAAAAATTAGAAAGAATCTTTCTGAGAAACTGCTTTGGGATTTGTGCATGCATCTCACAGAGTTAAACCATTCTTTTGATTCAGCAGTTTGGAAACCCTGTTTTTGTCCATTATATGAATGGACATTTGGGAGCTCTTTGAGGCCAACGGTGAAAAAAAGAATATACCAGGGTAAGAACTGGAAAGAAGCTATTGGAGAAACCACTTTGTCATATGCTCATTCATCTCTCTGAGAAAAATGTTTCTTTTCATTCAGCAGTTTGGAAACACTGTGTTTGTCCATTCTGTGAATTGATTTTTGAGCTCATTGAGGCCAATAGTAAAAAAGCGAATATCCAAAAATAAAAACCCAGAAGGAAGCTATGAGAAATTGCTTTGAGATGTTTGCATTCATCTCGTGGAGTTAAACCATTCTTTTCCTTCAGCAGTTTGGAAACACTATTTTTGATGAATCTGTGAAGAGATATTTGGGGGAGGGCATTGGAGCCTCTGGTGAAAAAGAAAATATCTTCAGCATAAAACTAGAAAGAAGCTTTGTGAGAAACTGCTTTGTGATGTGTTCCTTCATCTCACACAGTTAAACTTTTCTTTTGATTCAGCAATTGGGAACACTGTTTTTCTCCATTTTGTGAATGTACATTTGGCAGCTCATTGAGGCCAATGGTGAAAAAGTGAATATCCCAGGGTAAAAACTAGAAGAAAGCCATCTGAGAAAAAGCTTTGTGATGTCTGCCTTCATCTTGTAGAGGTAATCTTTTCTTTTCATTCAGCAGTTTGGAAACACTGTTTTTGTAGAATCTGTGAAGGGGTAATTGGGAGCACATTTGGTCCCATGGTGAAAAAGAAAATATCTTCAGATTTAAACTAGAAAGAAGCCTTCTGAGAAACTGATTTGTGATAAGTTCCTTCATCTCACAGAGTTAAACCTTTTTTTTGATTCAGCAGTTTGGAAACCGTGTTTTTGTCCCTTCTGTGAATGGACATTTGGGAGCTCATTGAGGCCAATGGAGGAAAAGTGAATATCCCAGGATAAAAACCAGAACTAAGCTACCTGAGAAATAGCTTTGTGATATGTGCATTCGTTGCACACAGATAAATTTTCCTTTTGATTTGGCAGTTTGTAAATACTGTTTTTGCATATTCTGGGAACATACATTTGGGAGCTCATTTAGGCCAATGCTGAAAAAGCAAATATTGCAGGATAAAAACTAGAAGGAAGCGACCTGAGAAATTGCTTTGTGATGTCTGCCTTCTTCTCATAGAGTTAATCCTTTATTTTCATTCATTAGTTTGGAAAAACTGCTTTTATAAAATCTGCTAAGGGGTATTTAGGAGCATAATGGGGCCTATGGTAAAAAAATTATCTTCAGATTAAATCTAGAAAGAAGCTTTCAGAAAAACTTCTTTGTGATGGGTTCCTTCAACTCATAGAGTTAAACCTTTCTTTTGATTCAGCAGTTTGGAAACACTATTTTTGTCTCTTCTGCGAATGCATATTAGGGAGCTCTGAGGCCAATGGCAAAAGAGTGCACATCCCAGGATAAAAACCAGAATGAAGCTATCTGAGAAACCGCTTTTTGATGGTCTCATAGAGTCAATGCTTTCTTTTCATTTAGCAGTTTGGAAACACTTTTTTTAGAACCTACAAAGGCATATTTGGGAGGGCATTGAGGTCTAAGGTGAAAAACAAAATATCTTCAGAAGAAAACTACAATAAAGCTTTCTGAGATACTGCTTTGTGATGTGTGCAATGATCTCGCAGAGTTTAAACTTTCTTTTGATTCAGCAGTTTGCAAACACTGTTTTTTTTTCCATTCAGTGAATGGAGATGTGGGAGATCATTTAGGCCAAAGGTGAAAAAGTGTATATCCCAGGATAAAAACTAGAAGGAAGCTATCTGAGAAACTGCTTTCTGATGTGTGCATTCATCTCGCAGAGGTAAACATTTCTTTTCATTCAGCAGTTTGGAAACACTGTTTTTGTCCATTCTGCGAATGGATTTTGGGAGCTCATTGAGACCAATTGCAGAAAAGAGAATATCCAAAAGTAAAAACCCAGAAGGAAGCTATGAGAAACTGCTTTGGGATGTGTGCATTCATATTGCAGAGTTTAAGTATTCTTTTCCATTAGCAGTTTGGAAACACTGTTTGTGAAGAATTTGTGAAGGGATACTTGGGAGCACATTGAGGCTTATGGTGAAAAGAAAAATATCCTCAGATAAAAATTAGAAGGAAGATTTCTGAGGAACTGCTTTCTGATATGTAATTTCATCTCACAGAGAAACATTTCTTTTGATTCAGCAGTTTGGAAACACTTTTTTTGTAAATTCTGCAAATGGACATTTGGGAGCTCATCAAAGCCAATGGAGAAAAATCGAATATCCCAGGATAAAAACTAAAAGGAATCTATCTGAGAAACCGCTTTTCAATGTGTGCATTCATCTCGTAGTGTTAAACCTTTCCTTTCATTCAGCAGTGTGGAAACAGTGTTTTTGTAGAATCTGGGAAGGAATATTTGGAGCACAATGAGGCCAGTGGAGGAAAAGCAAGTATCCCAGGATAAAAACCAGAGTGAAGCCACCTGAGAAACAGCTTTGTGATGAGTGCATTCATCGCAAACAGATAAACATTTCTTTTCATTAAACCATTTGGAAACACTGTTTTTGTCCATTCTGCAAATGGACATTTTCGAGCCCATTCAGGCCAATGGTGAAAAAGCATATATCCCAGGATAAACTAGAAGGATGCTATCTGAGAAACTGCTTTGTGATGTGTGCATTCAGCTCGCAGAGTTAAACCTTTATTTTCATTCAGCAACTTGGAAACACTGTTTTTGTAGAATCTGTGAAGGGATATTTGGGAGATCATCAATGCCTCTGGTTAAAAAGAAAATATCTTCACACAGAAACTAGAATGAAGCTTTCTTAGAAAATGCTTTCTGATGTGTGTGTTCATCTAACAGAGTTAAACCTTCCTTTTGATTCAGGAGTTTGGAAAAAATTTTTTTTCCCCATTCTTCAAATGGATATTTGGGAGCTAATTGAGACTTCATCCTGTCATAGTGTTAAACTTTGTTTTCATTCAGAGTATGGAAACAGAGTTTTTGTCCATTCTGCAAATGGACATTTGGCAGCTCATTGAGGCAAATGGCAAAAAAGTGAATAACCTAGGATAAAAGCCAAAAGGAACCTTTCTGAGAAACAGCTTTGTGCTGTGTGCATTCGTCTTACAGAGCTAAATCATTCTTTTGATTCAGTATTTTGGAAACACTGCTTTTGTGCATTCTGTGAATGGACTTTCAGGAGCTCTTTGTGGCCAATAGTGTAAAAGTGAATATAACAGGAAAAACGTGAAGGAATCTACCTGAGAAACTGCTCTGTGATTTGTGCATTCATCTCACAGAGTTAAAATTTTCTTTTCATTCAGCAGTTTGGAAACAGTGTTTTTGTCCATTTTGTGAATGGACATTTATGAGATCATTGAGGCCAATTGCCAAAGAGAAAATATCCAAGGATAAAAATGAAAAGAACGCTATCTGAGAAACCGATTTGTGATAAGTGCATTTGTCTCATGACTTAAACATTTCTTTTCATTCAGCAGTTTGGAAACACGGTTTTGTAGAATCTGCAAAGGGATATTTTGGAGCTCATTGAGGCCTATGGTGAAAAGGAAAATATCTTCAGATAAAAACTAGAAAGAAGCTTTCTGAGAAACTGCTTTGTGATGTGTGCATTCATCTCACAAAGCTAAAACTTTGTTTTGATTCAGCAGTTTAGAAACACTGTTTTGGTCCATTCTGCAAATGGACATTTGGGAGCTCATTGAGGTCAGTGGTGAAAAAGCTAATATCCCAGGATAAAAACTAGAAGGAAGATATCTGAGAAACTACTCTGCGATGGGTGCATTGATCCTGCAGTGTTAAACCTTTCTTTTCATTCAGCAGATTGGAAACGCTGTTTTTATAGAATCTGTGAAGGGATATTTGGGATCACAGTGAGGCCTATGGTGAAAAAGAAAATATCTATAGATAAAATCCAGAAAGAAGCGTTCTAAGAAACTGCTTTGTGATGTGTGCATAGATCTCACATAGTTAAATCTTTCTTTTGATTCAGCAGTTTGGAAACACTGTTTTTGCCCATTATGCAAATGGACATTTGGGAGCTCATTGAGACCAATAGTGCAAAAGGGAATATCCCAGGATAAAAACTAGAAGAAAGCTATCTGAGAAACCACGTTGTGTTCTGTTCATTCATCTCACAGAGTTAAATCTTTCTTTTCTTTCAGCAGTGTTGAAACACTCTTTTTTAGAATCTGAGAAGGGATATTTGGGGGCACATTGAGGCCTATGGTGAAAAGGAAATATGATCAGATAAAAACGAGAAAGAAGCTTTCTGAGAAAGTGTTTTGTGATGTGTACATTCGTCTCACTGAGTTAAACCTTCCTTTTGATTTAGCAGTTTGGAAACACTGTTTTGTCCATTCTGCAAATGGACATTTGTGAGCTCATTGAAGCCTACGGTGAAAAAGCGAATACCCCAGGATAAAAACTGGAAGGAAGCTATCTGAGACTCCACTCTGTGATGTGTGCATTGATCCTGCAGAGTTAAATCTTTCTTTTCATTCAGCAGATTGGAAATGCTGTTTTTATAGAATTGCGAAGGGATATTTGGGATCACAGTGAAGCCTATGGTGAAAAAGAAAATAGCTACAGATAAAGAATAGAAAGAAGCGTCCTGAGAAACTGCTTTGTGCTGTATTAATAGATCTCATATAGTTAAATCTTTCTTGTGATTCAGCAGTTTGGAAACACTGTTTTTGCCCATTTTGTGAGTGCACATTTGGGAGCTCATTGAGACCAATGGTGCAAAAGGGAATATCCCAGTGTAAAAACTAGAAGGAAGGTATCTGAGAAACCACGTTGTGGTCTGTTCATTCAAAATCTTCCATTTCTTTCAGCAGTGTTGAAACACTCTTTTTTAGAATCTGAGAGGGGATATTTGGGGGCACATTGAGGCCTATGGTGAAAAGGAAATATGCTCAGATAAAAACGAGAAAGAAGCTTTCTGAGAAAGTGTTTTGTGATGTGTACATTCGTCTCACTGAGTTAAACCTTTCTTTTGATTTAGCAGTTTGGAAACACTGTTTTGTCCATTCTGTGAATGGACATTTTTGAGCTCATTGAAGCCTATGGTGAAAAAGCGAATGCCCCAGGATAAAAACTGGAAGGAAGCTATCTGAGACTCCACTCTGTGATGTGTGCATTGATCCTGGAGAGTTAAATCTTTCTTTTCATTCAGCAGATTGGAAACGCTGTTTTTATAGAATCTGTGAAGGGATATTTGGGATCACAGTGAAGCCTATGGTGAAAAAGAAAATAGCTACAGATAAAAAATAGAAAGAAGCATTCTGAGAAACTGCTTTGTGATGTGTGCATGGATCTCATATAGTTAAATCTTTCTTGTGATTCAGCAGTTTGGAAACCCTGTTTTTGCCCATTCTGTGAATGCACATTTGGGAACTCATTGAGACCAATGGTGCAAAAGGGAATATCCCAGTGTAAAAACTAGAAGGAAGCTATCTGAGAAACCACGTTGTGTTCTGTTCATTCATCTCACAGAGTTAAATCTTTCATTTCTTTCAGCAGTGTTGAAACACTCTTTTTTAGAATCTGAGAAGGGATATTTGGGGGCACATTGAGGCCTATGGTGAAAAAAAATAAGCTCAGATAAAAACCAGAAAGAAGCTTTCTGAGAAAGTGCTTTGTGATGTGTACATTCATCTCACTGAGTTAAACCTTCCTTTTGATTTAGCAGTTTGGAAACACTGTTTTGTCCATTCTGTGAATGGACACTTCTGAGCTCATTGAGGCCTATGCTGAAAAAGGGAATACTGCAGGATAAAAACTAGAAGGAAGCTATCTGAGACTCTGCTTTGTGATGTGTGCATTGATATCACAGAGTGAAACATAACTTTTCATTCAGCAGTTTAGAAACACTTTTTTTGTAGAATCTCTGAAGTGGTATTCAGGAGCTCATTGAGGACAATGGCGGAAAAGTCAATATCTCAAGATATAAACTGGAGGATAGCTATCTTAGAAACCGGTTTGTGATGTGTGCATTCATCTCACAGAGTTAAAACTTTCTTTTCATTCATCAGTTTGCAAACACTGTTTTTGGATAACCTGGGAAGAGATATTTTGGAGCAAATTGAGGCCTATGCTGAAAAAGAAAATGTCTTCAGATAAAAACTAGAAAGAAGCTTTCTGAGAAACTTCTTTGTGATGTGTGCATTCATCTCACAGCGTTAAACCATTCTTTTGATGCAGCAGTTTGGAAACATTGTTCTTGCCCATTCTGTGAAAGGACATTATGGAGCTCATTGAGGCCAATGGTGAAAAAGCGAATATCACAGGATAAAAACTAGAAGGAAGCTATCTGAGGAACCACTTTAAGAAGTGTGCATTCATCACCAGAATTAAACCCTTCTTTTTCTTCAGCAATTTGGAAACACTGTTTTTTTAGAATAGTAAAGGGATACTTGGGAGCGCATTGATGCCTATATTGACAAAGAAAATAACTTCAGATAAAAACTAGAAAGAATCTTTCTGAGAAACTGCTTTGTGATGTGTGCATTCATCTCACAGAGTTAAACCTTACTCTTGACTCACCAATTTGGAAACCCTGTTTTAGTCCATTCTGTGAATGGACATTTTGGAACTCATTAAGTCCCATGGTGAAAAGGGGTATATCCCAGGATAAAAACTAGAAGGAAGCTATCTGAGAAACTTTTTGTGATGTTTGCCTTCATCCCACAGAGTTAAACCTTTCTTTTGATTCAGCAGTTTGGAATCACTGTTTTTGTCCATTCTGCAAATGGACATTTGGGAGCTCATTGAGGCCAAGGGTGAAAGAGCGAACATCCCAGGATAAAAACCAGAAGGAAGCAATCTGAGAAACCACTTCATGATGAGTGCATTCATTTCAGAGCATTAAACCTTTCTTTTGATTCAGCAGTTTGGAAAGACTGTGATTGTCTACTCTGAATGGACATTTGGGAGTTCATTGAGGCCAAAGGCAAAAAAGCGACTCTCCCAGGATAATAATGCAAAGGAAGTTATCTGAGATACTGCTTTGTGATATGTGCATTCACCTTGCAGAGTTAAACCTTTCTTTTCATTTAGGAGTTTGGAAAAACTGTTTTTGTCCATTCTGTGAGTGAATATTTGGGAGCTCATTGAGGCGAATGGTGAAAAAGCAAATAACCCAGGATAAAAACTAAAAGAAATTATCTGAAAAACCGCTTTGTGATGTGTGCATTCATCTCACAGAGTTAAACTTTTTTTCTATCCAGCAGTTTGGAAACACTCTTTTTGTAGAATCTGCGAAGGGATATTTGGGAGCCTAATGAGGCCTATGGTGAAAAAGAAAATATCTTCAGATAAAAACGAGAAAGAAGTTTTCTGAGAAACTGCTTGGTGATGTTTGCATTCACTTCACAGAGATAAACATTTCTTTTTATTTAGCAGTTTGAAAACACTCTTTTTGTCCACTCTGTGAGTGGACATTTTGGAGCTATTTGAGGCCCAAGGCAAAAAAGTGAATATCCTATTATAAAAACTAGAAGAAGCTATCTGAGAAACCGTTTTGTGACTTGTGCTTTCATCTCACAGAGTAAAGCCATACTTTTCATTCAGCAGTTTAGAAACACTGTTTTTGAGGAAACTGCAAATGGATATTTGGGTGCACATTGAAGCCTATTGTGAAAAAGAAAATATCTTCACATAAAAAGTAGAAGGAAACTTTCTGAGATACTCCTTTGTGATGTGTGCATTTATCTCACTTAGTTAAAGCATTCCTTTGACTCGGCAGTGTGGAAACACTGCTTTTGTCCATTCTGTGAGTGGACATTTGGGATCTCACTGACGCCAAAAGGAAAAACTTGAAAATCCCAAGATAAAAAGTAGAAGGAATCCATCTGTGAAACCGCTTTGTGGTGTGTGCATTCATCCCACAAAGTGAAACCTTTCTTGTCATTCAGTAGTTTAGAAACACTTTTTTTGTAGCATCTGCAAAGGGATATTTGGGAGCTCATTGAGGCCTATGGCAAAAAAGGAAATTAGAGAGAAGTTATCTGAGGAAACTCTTTGTGATGTGTGCATTCATCTTGCAGTGTCAAACAGTTCTTTTCACTTGGCAGTTTGGAAAAAGTGTTCTGTCCATTCTGTGAATGGACCTTTGGGAGCTCACTGAGTCCAATGTTGAAAAAGCAAATACCCAAGGATAAAAATTAGAAATAAGCTATCCAAGAAACCGCTTTGTGATATGTGCATTCATCTCACATTGTTAAACTTTTCTTTTCATTTAGCACTTTGGAAACGGTTTTTTTGTCCATTTTGTGAATGGACATTTGAGGGATGATTGAGGTGAATGGCTAAAAAGCAAATATCCCAGCATAAAAACTAGAAAGAAGCTATCTGAGAAACCGCTTTGTGATGTGTGCATTCAATTGAGGAGTTAAATCTTTATTTTCATGCAGCAGTTGGAAAACATTTTTTGGTAGAATCTGCGAATTGACATTTCACAGCTGACTGAGGCCTATTATGGCAAAGAAAATGTCTTCAGGTAATAACTAGAATGTATCTTTCTGAGAAAGTGCTTTGAGATGTATGCATTCATGTCACCGAGTTAAAATTGTCTTATGATTCAGCACCTTGGAACACTGTTTCAGTCCATTCTGCGAATGGATATTTGGGGGCACTGTGAGGCCAATGGTGATAAGGTGAATGTCTCAGGATTAAAACTGAGAGGAAGCTATATGAGAAACCGCTTTCTGATGTGTATATTCATCTTGCAGAGTTAAAACTTTCTTTTCTTTTCGTTCAGCAGTTTGGAAACACTGTTGTTGCCCATTCTGTGATTGGACATTTGGGAGCTCATTGAGAGCAATGGAGAAAAAGGGAATATCCCAGGATAAAAACTAGAAGGAAGCTATCTTCCTTCTAGTAGTGTCTGCAGAGGGATATTTGGGAGCATATTGAGGCCTATGGTGAAAAAGTAAATATCTTCAGATAAAAACTAGAAAGAATCATTCTGAGAAACTTCTTTATGATGTGTGCATTCATCTCACTGAGTTAAACCTTTGTTTTGATTCAGCAGTTTGGAATCACTCTTTTTGTCCATTCTGTGAATGGACATTTGGGAGAAAATTGGGGCCAATGGGGAAAAAGAGAATGTCCAAGGATAAAAAATAAGAGGAATCTATCTGAGAAACTGCTTTGTGATGTGTGCATTCAACTCCCTGAGTTAAACCTTTTTTTCATTAGGCAGTTTGGAGCTACCATTTTTGTAGAATCTGTGAATGGATATTTGGGAGCACGTTGAGGACTATGGTGAAAAAGAAAATGTCCTCGGATAAAATATAGAAAAAAGTTTTCTGTGTGACTGCTTTGTGATGTGTGCATTCAGCTCACAGAGGTGAACCTTTCTTTTGATTCAGCATTTTGGAATCGTTGCTTTTATCCATTCTGCAAATGGATATTAGGGAGCTCATTGAAGCCAAAAGTGAGAAACAAAATGCCCCAATATAAAAACTAAGAGAAAGCTGTCTGAGAAACTTCTTTGTGATGTGTACACTCATCTCGAAGAATTGAACTTTTCTTTTCATTCAACCTTTTGGAAACACTGTTTTTGTCCATTCTGCAAATGGACATTTGGGAGCTCTTTGGGTCCAATGGTGAAAAATCGAATGTCCCATGATAAAAACTATGAAGAACCTATCTGATAAACTGCTTTGTGATGTGTGTATTCATCTGGCTGAGGTAAACCTTTCTTTTTATTCAGCTGTTTGGAAACACTGTATTTGTAGCATCTGCGAAGGGATATTTAGGAGGGCATTGAGGCATGTGGTGAAAAAGAAAATATCTTCAGATAAAAATTATAAAAAAGCTTTCTGAGAAACTGCTTTGTGATGTGTGCTTTGTGATGTGTGCATTCATCTCACAGAGTTAAACCTTTCTCAGTAATATGGAAACTCTCTTTTTGTCCATTGTGTGAAAGCACATTTTGGAGTTCTCTGAGGCCAATGGCAAAGAAAGGGAATACCCCAGGATAAAAACTAGAAGGAAGGTATCTGAGAAACTGCTTTTTGATGTGTTCATTCAGCTCGAGGAGTTAAATCTTTCTTTTCATTCAGCAGTTTAAAGACACTGTTTTTGTAGAACCTGTGAGTGGACATTTAGGAGCTCACTGAGGCCAATGGTGAAAAACAATATAAATTCAGATAAAAACTAGACAGAAATTTCTGAGAAACTACTTTGTGATGTGGGCATTCATCTCACAGAGATAAACCTTTCATTTGATTCAGCAGTGTGGAAAAAGTTTTTGTCCATTCTGTGAATGGACTTTTTGGAGTTCATTCAATCCAATGGTGAAAAGTGAATACCCCAAGATAAAAACTAGAAGGAAGCTATCTGAGAAAGTACTTTCTGATGTGTGCATTCATATCACAGATTTAAAACTTTCATTTTGTTCAGCAGTTTGGAAACACTCTTTTTGCAGAACCTGCAAAAGGATATCTGGGGTTGCTTTGAGGCCTATGGTGATAAGGAAAATATCTTCAGATAAAAACTAGGAAGAATCTCTCTGAGAAACTGCTTTGTGATGAGCACATTCAGCTCACAGTGTTAACCATTTATTTTGATTCAGAAGTTTGGAAACACTCTTTTATCTATTCAGTGAATGGACATTTGGGAGCTTATTGAGGTCAATGGTGAAAAGGCGAATGTCCCAGGATAAGAACTAAGAGGAAGCAATCTGAGAAACTGCTTTTTGATGTGTGTATTCATCTCGTAGAGGTAAACATCTCTTTTAATTCAGCTGTTTGGAAACACTGTTTTTGTAGTATCTTTGAAGTTATATTTTGGAGCACAGTGGGGTCTGTGATGAAAAAGAAAATCTCTTCAACTAAAAATTTGAAAGAAGAAATGTGAGAAACCGCTTCATTATATGTGAATTCATCTCCCTGATTTAAACCTTTTTTTTTCATTCAGCAGTTTGGAAGCACTGTTTTTGAAGAATCTGCAAGGGGATATTTCAGAGTGCATTGAAGCCTATGGTGAAAAACAAAATACCCTCAGATAAAAACTGGAAAAAAACTTTCTGAGAAACTGTTTTGTGATATGTGAATTCATCACACATAGTTAAAATTTTCTTTTGATTCAGTGGTTTGGAAAAACTTTTTTTTTCCATTCTGCGAGTGGACATTTCAGAGCTCATGGAGACCAATGGAGAAACAACGAATATACCAGGATAAAAACTAGAAGGAAGCTATCTGAGAAACAGACTTGCAATGTATGCATTCATCTGGCAGAGTTAAAACTTTCTTTTCATTCAGCAGTTTGGAAATACCGTTTTTGTCCACTGTTTGAATGGATATTTGGGAGCTCATTGAGTCCAATGGTGAAAAATCGAATGTCCCATTATAGAAACTATGAAGAAGCTTTCTGATAAACTTCTTTGTGATGTCTGCATTCACTGCACCTAGGTAAACCTTTCTTTTTATTCAGCTGTTTGGAAACACTGTTTTTTTCATTCTGCGAATGGACATCTGGGACCACATTTAGGCTGATGATGAGAAAGAAAATAACTTCAGAAAAAAAACTGGATAGAAGGTTTCTGAGAAACTGCTTTGTGATGTGTGCATTCATCTCACAGAGTTAAAACATTCCTTTCATTCAGAAGTTTGGAAAAACTGATTTTGTAGAATCTGCGAAGGGATACTTGGGAATGTAATGAGGCATATGTTGAAGAAATATATTCAGATAAAAACTAAAAAGAAATTTTCCGAGAAACTGCTTTGTGATGTGTGCATTCTTCTCACAGAATTAAAACATTCTTTTGATTCAGCAGTTAGGAAACACTGCTATTGTCTTTTCTGTGAATGGACATTTGGGAGCTCATTGAGGCTGGAGGTGAAAAAGTGAATATGCCAGGAAAAAAACTACAATAAGCTGTCTGGGAAGCTGCTTTACAAAGTGTCCATTCATCTCACAAAGTCCTTTAAGCCTTTCTTTTCATTCAGCAGTTTGGAAGCACTGTTTTTGTACAAACTACAAAGGGATATTTGCGAGTGCTTTGAGGCCTATGGTGAAAAGGAAAATACCTTTAGATAAAAAATAGAAAGATGGTTTCTGAGAAACTACCTTGTGAAGTATGCATTCATCTGACAGAGTTAAACCTTACTCTTGATTCAGCTGTTTGGAAACACTGTTTTTCCAATCTGTGAATGGACATTTGGGAGCTCATTGTGGCCCATGGCAAAAACGCATATATCCCAAGACAAAAAGTAGAGGGAAGCTATGTGAGATAGCAATTTGTTATGTGTGCATTCATCTCACAGATTTAAACATTTCCTTTGAGGCAGCAGTTTGGAATCACTGTGTTTGTCCATGATCCGAATGAACATTTGGGAGCTCATTGAGGCCAATGGTGAAAAAGCAAATGTCCCAGGATAAACACGAAAAGGAAGCTATCTGAGACACCACTCTGTGATGTGTACATTCATCACGCAGAGTTAAAACTTCTTTTTCATTCAGCAGTTTGGAAACACTGTTTTGTAGAATCTGTGAAGGAATATTAGCTAGTGCCTTGAGGCCTATGCTGAAAAGGAAAATATCTTCAGATAAAAACTAGACAGAAGATTTTTGATAAACTACTTTGTGATGTGTGCATTCATCTCACAGTGTTAAACCTTTCTTTTCATGCAGCAGTTTGGAATCACTGTGTTTGTCCATACTCTGAATGGATATTTGGGAGCTCATTGAGGCCAATGGTGAAAAAGAAAATATGCCCAGATGAAAACTACAAGGAAGCTATCTGAGAAACCACTTTGTGATGTGTGCATTCATCTCACAGAGTTAAACTTTTTTTTCATTCAGCTGTTTGGAAACGCTGTTTTTGTAGAATCTGCAAAGGGATATTTGGGAGCACATTGAGGCCGATGGTGAAAAATAAAATATCTTCAGATAAAAACTAGAAAGAAGGTTTCTGAGAAACTGCTTTGTGAAGGGTGCCTTCATCTCACAAAGATAAACTTTTCTTTTGATTCCTTGGTTTGGAAACACTGTCCATTCTGTGAATGGACATTTGGAGCTTGTTGAGGCCAATGGTGAAAAAGGGAATATCCTAGGATAAAAACTAGAAGGAAGCACTCTGACAAACCTCTTAATGATTTGTGTTTTCATTTCACAGAGATAAAGATTCTTTTTATACAGCAGTTTGGAAATTGTTTTTGTCCATTCTGCAAATGAACATTTGAGAGCTCACTGAGGCCAACGGGGAAAAATCAAAAATCCCAGATAAAAATGAGAAGGAATCTATCTGAGAAGCTGCTTTGTGATGTGCGCATTCATCCCACATATTGAAACCTTTCTTTTCTTTCTGCAGTTTGGAAACACTGTTTTTGTCCATTCTGTGAATGGACATTTGGGAGCTCATGGAGGCCAAAGGTGAAAAAGTGAATATCCCAGGATGAAAACTAGAAAGAAGCTATATGAGAAATGGCTTTGTGATATGTGCATTCATCCCACAGACTGAAACCTTTATTTTCATTCAGCAGTTTGGAATCACTGTTTTTGTAGTCTCTGCGAGGGGATAGGTGGGAGCACATTGAGACCTCTGGTGAAAAAGAAAGTATCATCAGATAAAAACTAAAAGGAAACTTCTAGTTTGGCCCCAACGCGCTCCCAAGTACACCTTTGCAGATTCTACCAAAACAGTTTTTCCAAACTGCTGAATGAAAAGTTTAACTCTTTGAGGTGAATGTACACATCACAAGGCAGTTTATCAGATAGATTCCTTCTGTTTTTTATCATGGGAGATTCGCTTTTTCACTTTGGGGCTCAAAGAGATCTGAAATGTCCATTCTCTGAATAGATAAAAACGGTGTTTCCAAACTGCTGAATCAAAAGAAAGGTTTAACTTTGTGAGATGAATGCTCACATCACAAAGCTGGTTCTCAGAAAACTTTCTTGTAGTTTTTATCCTGGGATATTCACTTTTTCGCCATTGGCTGCAAAGAGTTCCTAAATGTCCATTCTCCAAATAGATAAAAATGGTGTTTCCAAATTGCTGAATCAAAAGAAAGGTTTAACTCTGTGTGTTGAAAGCGCACATAACAAAGCAGCTTCTCAGAAAGCTTTTTTCTACTTTTTATCTGAAGATATTTTATTTTTCACCATATGCCTTAATATGCTCTAAAATATCCCCTTGCAGATTCCACAAAAACAGTGTTTCCATATTGCTGAAAGAAAATAAGGTTTAATTCTGTGTGATGTATGCACATAACCAAAGCAGTTTCTCATATAGGTTCCTTCCAGTTTTATCAGGGAACATTTGCTACTTAACCTTTGGCCTCCATGAACTCCCAAATGTCCATTCACAGAATGGACAAAAACACTGTTTCCAACTGCTGAATGAAAAGAAAGGTTTAACTCTGTGAGATGAATGCCCACATCCATCACAAAGCAGTTTCTCAGATATTCTTATTCTATATTTACCCTGGGATATTCACTTTCCCCATTGTTTTCAATGAGTTCCCAAATTTCCATTCATAGAATGGACAAAAAGAGGGTTTCCAAATTGCTAAATCAAAACAAATGTTCAACTCTGTGAGATGAATGCACATATCAAAAAGCAGTTTCTCAGAAAGCTTCTGTCTTGTTCTTATCTTAAGATATTTCCTTTTCCACCATACGCCTCAATGCACTTCAAAATATACTCTCACACATTCTACAAAAACACTGTTTCCAAACTTCTGAGTGAAAAGAATGGATTAACTCTGTCAGATGAATGCACACATCTCAAAGCAGTTTCACAATGCTTCTTTTTAGTTTTCATCTGAGGTTATTTTCTTTTTCAAAATAGGCCTCAGCAGGATCCCAAATATCCCTTTGCAGATTCTACAAAAACAGTATTTCCTAACTTCTGAAAGAAATAAAGGTTTAAATCTGCGAGATGAATGCACACATCAAAAAGTGGTTTCACCGTTAGCTTCCTTGTAGTTTTTATCCTGGGATATTCCCATTTTTGCCATTTGACTCAATGAGCTCCATCCATTCACAGAATGGAAATAAACAGTGTTTCCAAACTATTGAATCAAAAGAAAATATTAACTTCATGAGATAAATGCACACATTACAAAGCAGTTTCTCAGAAAGCTTCTTTCTAGATTTTATCTGAAGATATTTTCATTTTCACCATAGACTTCAATGCACATCCAAATATTCCTTTGCAGTTTCTACAAAAACAGTGTTACCAAACAGCAGAATCAAAACAAAGGTTTAACTCTGTGAGGTGAATGCACACATCACAAAGCAGTTTCTCAGATAGCTTCCTTCTAGTGAATAGCCACGGATATTCACTTTTTCGCTATTGGCCTCAATGAGTCCTAAAACGTCCATTCACATAATGTAAAAAAAAAAAAACAGTGTTTCCAAAATGCTGAATCAAAAGAAATGTTTAACACTGTGAGATAAATGCACACATAAAAATGCAGTTTCTCAGAAAGCTTCTTTCTAGTTTTTATCTGAAGGTGTTTCCTTTTTCACCACAGGCCTCAATGCACTGCAAAATATCCCTTTGCAGATTCTGCAAAACAGTGTTTCCAAACTCCTCAATAAGGTTTAATTCTGTGTGAGGTATGCACATAACCGAAGCAGTTTCTCATATAGGTTCCTTCCAGTTTTATCAGGGAACATTTGCTACTTAACTTTGGCCTCCATGAGCTCCCAAATGTCCATTCACAGAATGGACAAAAACAGTGTTTCCAACTGCTGAATGAAAAGAAAGGTTTAACTCTGTGAGATGAATGCCCACATCCATCACAAAGCAGTTTCTCAGATAGCTTCCTCCTAATTGTCATCTGGGGTTATTCCTTTTTCACCACTGTCCTCAACGAGCTCCCAAATGTACATTAGCAGAATGGACAAAAACAGTGTTTCCGGACTGCTTAATCCAAAGAGAGGTTTAACTCTCTGTAATCAATGCACACATCACAGAGCAGTTTGTAGGATTGCTTCCTTCTAGTTTTTATTCTGGGATGTTTCCTTTTTCACCTTTGGCCTCAGTGAGACTACAAATGTTTATTTTCAGAATGGACAAAAAGTGTTTCCAAACTAGTGAATCAAAAGAAAGGTTTAACTCTGTAAGATGAATGAACACATCATAAAGCATTTTCTTATAAAACTACTTTCTAATTCTTATCTGAAGATATTTTCTTTTTTACCATAGATCTCATTGTGCTCCTAAATGTCTCTTCACAGTTTCTACAAAAACAGTGTTTCCAAACTACTTAGTGAAAGACAGTTTTATCTCTGGGATATGAATGCATGCAGCCCAAAGCTGTGTCTCACATGGCTTCCTTCTAGTTTTTATGCTGTTATATCCACTTTTTCATCATTGCCCTCAATGAGCTCCAAAATCTGCTTTTGCAGAATTGGCAAAAACAGTGTTTCAATACTATTAAATCAAAAGAAAGGTTTAATTCTGTGAGATGAATTCATACATCATTCATACGTCACAAAGTAGTTGCTCAGAAAGTTTCTTTCCAGTTTTTATATAAACATATTCTTTTCAATATAGGCATCAGTTTCCAAACTGCTGAATCAAAAGAAATGTTTAACTCTGTGAGATAAATGCACACATCAAAAAGCAGTTTCTCAGAAAGCTTCTTTCTGAAGATATTTCCTTTTTCACCACAGGCCTCAATGCACTGCAAATTATCACTTCGCAGATTCTACAAAAACAATGTTTTCAAACTTCTAAATGAAAAGAAAGGTTTAACTGTGAGATGAATACACACATCACAAAGTGGGTTCTCAGATAGCTTCTTTGTTGTTTCTGTTTTGGGTTATTCACTTTTTTGAAATTGGCATCAATGAGCAACCAAATGTCCATTCACAGAATGAATGAAAACAGTGTTTCCAAACTGCTAAATCAAAAGAATGTTTTAACACTGCCAGGTGAATGCATACATCACAAAGCGGTTTCCAGATAGGTTAATTCTACTTTTTATCCTGGGATATTCAGTTTTTTGCAATGGCCTCAATGGGCATGCAAATTTCCATTCTCAGAATGGACATAAACTCTTTTTCCAAAAGGCTGACTCGAAAGTAAGTTTTAAGTCTGTGACATGAATGCACCTATCACAAAGTTATTTCTCAGTTACCTTCCTGCTAATTTTTATCTAGGAATATTTACTTTTTCAACATTGGCCTCAAAGAGCTCCCAAATATCCATTCACAGTATGTACAAAAAATGTGTTTCCAAATTGCTGAATCCAAAGAAGGTTTTACCTCTGTGAGATGAATGCACACATTGCAAAGCAGTTTCTCAAAAAGTTTCTTTCTAGTTTTTATCTGAAGATATTTTCTTTTCCACCACATGCCCCAATGCACTCCCAAATATCACTTCTCAGATTCTACAAAAACAGTGTTTCCAAAGTGCTGAATGAAACGACAGTTTTACACATCACAAAGTAGTTTCTCAGATAGCTTCCTTCTAGTTTTTGTTCTGTGATATTCCCTTTTTCACCATAGGCCTTAATGAGCTCACAAAAATCCCATCACAGATTCTAGAAAAACATTATTTCCAAACATCTGAATGCAAAAGAAAAGCTTAACTCTGCTAAATGGATGCACATGTGACAAAGCGGTTTCTCAGATAGCTTTCTTCTTGTTTTTGTCCTGGGATATTCACTTTTTTGCCATCGGCCTCATTGAGCTCTGAAATGTCCAATAGCAGGATGGAGAAAAAGAGTGTTTCCAAACTGCTGAATGAAAAGAAAGTTTTAACTCTGTGAGATGAATGCAAACATCAAAAGGAGTTTCTCAGAAAGCTTCTTTCCAGTTTTTAATCTGAAGATATTTTGTTTTCACCACAGGCCTCAATGCTCCCCACATAGCCTTTCAAAGATACTAAAAAAACAGTGTTTCCAAACTGCTGAATCAAAAGAAACCTTTAACAATGAGAGATGAATGCACATATCACAGGGCAGTCTCCCAGATAACTTCATTGTAGTTTTTATCATGGGATATTCACTGTTTCTCCTTTGGCCTCACTGAGCTGCCAAATATCCATTTGCAGAATGGACAAAAACAGTGTTTCCAAACTGGTGAATTAAAAGAAAAGTTCAACACTGTGAAACGAATGCACACATTACAAAGCAGTTTCTCAGACAGCTTCTTTCTCGTTTTTATCTGAATTTACTTTCTTTTCCACTGTAGGCCTCAACATGCTCCTAAATTTGCCTTCACAGATTCTGCAAAAACAGTGTTTCCAAACTAATGAAGGAAAAGCAAATTTTAATTCTGTGAGATGAATGCATATATCACAAAGCGGTTTCTCAGATAGCTTCCTTTTGTTTTTATCCTGGGATATTCACTTTTTCATGATTGACCTCAATGACTTTTCAAAAGTCCATTCACAGAATGGACAGAAACAGTGTTTCCAAACTCCTGAATCAAAAGAAAGTTTTCGCTCCGTGAGATCAATGCACACATCAGAAAGCAGTTTCACAAAAAGCTTCTTTCTGGCTTTTACCTGAAGATATTTTCTTTTTCACAATAGGACAAAATGTACTCCCAAATATCCCTTTGCAGATTTTAGAAAAATAGAGTTTTCAGACTGCTGAATGAGAGGATGGTTTATCTCTGTGAGATGAAGCACACATCACAAAGCCGTTTGTCAGATAGTTTCTTTCTTGTTTTTGTCCTGGGATACTCGCCTTTTTGCCATTGGCCTCAATCAGCTCCCCAGCGTCCCTTCACGGAATGGACTGAAAGAGTGTTTCCAAACTGGTGAATCAAGGAAAAGTTTAACTCTGTGAGATTAATGCACACAACACAGAGCAGAATGCTTCTTTCTAGTTTTTATCTGAAGATATTTTCTTTTTCACCATAGGCCTCAATGCCCTCCCAAATATCCCTTTGCAGATTCTAAAAACACAGTGTTTCCCAGCAGCTGAATGAAAAGGGATGAATGCACACATCACAAAGCAGTTTCTCAGAGAGCTTCCTTCTAGTTTTAATCCTGGAATATTTGCTTTTTCTCAATTGGCCTCAATGAGCTCCCAAATGTCCATTTGCAGAATAGACAAAAACAGTGTTTGCAAACTGCTGAATCAAAAGAAAGGCTTAACTCTATGAGATAAATGCCAACCTAAAAAACCAGTTTCTCAGAAAGCTTTTCTCTAGTTTTTGTCTGAGGATATTTTTTTTTCACCAGAGCCTTCGATGCAGTACAACATATCCCTTTGTAGATTCTACAAAAATAGTGTTTCCAAACTGCTGAATGTATAGGAAAGTTAATTCTGTGAGATAAATGCACGCGTCACAAAGTGGTTTCTTCTATAGCTTCCTTCTAGTTTTTATCCTGGAAAATTCACCTTTTTGCCATTGGCCTCAATAAGCTCCCAAATGTCCATTCACAGAATGGACAAAAACAATGTTTCCTAATTGCTGAATGAAAAAACAATTTTATCTTTGTGCGATGAATGCACACACCAGAAAGCGGTTTCCAGATAGCTTCATTCTAGATTTTATCCTGGGTTATTTACTTTTTCAACACTGGCCTCAATGAGCTCCAAAATGTCCATTTGCAGAATGGACAGAAACAGTGTTTCCAAAGTGCTGAATCAAAAGAAAAGTTTAATTCTGTGAGATGAATGCAGACATCACAAAGCAGTTTCTTATAGAGCTTCTTTCTAGTTTTTACCTGAATATACTTTCTTTTTCACAATTAGCTTCAATGTGCTCCCAAATATAACCTCAAAGATTCTCCAAACACAGTGTTTCCACACTGCTGAATGATAAAATGGTTAACTCTGTGAGATGAAAGCACACATCACAAAGCTGTTTCACCAAAACCTTCTTTCTAGTTTTTACCTGAAGATATTTTCTTTTCCACTGTAGGCCTGAATGTGCTCCCTAAGATCCCTTTGCAGATTCTCCAAAAACCGTGCTTCCAAACTGCTGAATGAAATAAAGGATTAATTTTGCCAGATGAATGCGTACATCACAAAGGGTTTTCTCAGATATTTTCCTACTAGTTTTTATCCTGTGATATTCATTTGTTCTCCATTGGCCTCAATGACATACCAAGTGTCCATTCGGAGAATTGACAATCACAGTGTTTCCAAACAGCTGAATCAAAAAGAAAGATTTATCTCTGCTAGATGAATGCACATATCACCAAGCAGTTTCTCACACTGCTTTATTGTAGTTTTAATCTTGGGATATTTGCTGTTTCAACATTGGCCTCAATAAGCTTCCAAATGTCCATTCACAGAATGGACAAAAACAGTGTTTCAAAACTGCTGAATCAAATAAATATTTAACTCTGTGGAATGAATGCACACATCAGAAAGCAGTTTATCTGAAAACTTCTTCTAGTTTTTATCTGAATTTACTTTCTTTTTCACCATAGACTTCAAGACACTCCAAAATATCCCTTCACAGATTCTACAAAAGCAGTGTTTCCATATTGTTGAATGAAAAAAAGATTTAATTCTGGTAGATGAATGCACACTTTGTAAAGCAGTTTCTCAGATAGGTTCTTCTAGGTTTTTTCCTGGGATATTCCTTCCAGTTTTTATCTGAAGATATTTTCCTTTTCAATGTAGGCCTCAATGCACTCCCAAATATCCCTTTGAAGATTCTACAAAAACAGTGCTTCCAAACTGCTGAATGAAAAGGCAAGTTTAATTCTGCAAGATGAGTGCACACATCACAAAGCAGTATTTCAGATAGCTTCATACTAGCTTTTATAATGGGATATTCACTTTTCTGCAATTGGCCTCAATGAGTTTCTAAGTGTCCACTTGCAGAATGGACAAAAACAGAGTTTCCGAACAACTCAATCAAAAAAAAAGTTTAACTCTGCAAGATGAATGCAGACATCACAAAGCATTTTTTCAGATAGATTCCTTCCAGTTTTTATCCTTGGATATTAGCTTTTTCACCATTGGCCTCAATGAGCCTTCATATATCCTTTTGCAGAATGGACGGAAACAGTGTTTCCAAACTGCTGAACCAAAGAAAGATGTAGATCTGTGAGATGAATGCACACATAACAAAGCAGTTTCTCAGATAGCTTCTTTCCAGTTGTTTTCCTGGGATAGTCTCTTTGTCTTTGTTGGCCTTGATGAGCTTTCAAATGTCCTTTCATAGAATGGACAGAAACAGTGTTTCCAAACTGCTGAATCAAAAGAAAATTTTAAATCTGTGAGATGAATGCACATATCAAAACGCAGTTTCTCAGAAAGTTTCTTTCTAGTTTTTATCTGAAAATAGTTTTTTTCACCATAGGCCTCCATGCACTTCCAAATATCCCTTCACAGGTTTTACAAAAATAGTGTTTCCAAATTGCTGATTCAAAAGAAAATTTAAATCTGTGAGATGAATTCACACATCACAAATCTGTGTCCTTCTACTTTTTATACTGGGATATTTGCTTTTTCGCCATTGGCCTCAATGAGCTCCAAAATGTCCATTCGTGGAAAGGAGAAAAACAGTGCTTGCAAACTGCTGAATCAAAAGAAAGGTTTAACTCTTTAAGATGAATACCCACATCAAAAACCAGTTTCTCAGAAAGCTTTTTTCTAGTTCCTTTCTGAGGATTTTTTTTTCACCAGAGGCTTTGATGCGCTCCCACATATCCCTTTGCATATTCTACAAAATAGTGTTTTGAAACTGCTAAACATATAGAAATGTTAACTCTGTGAGATGAATGCACACATCACAAAGTGGTTTCTCAGATAGCTTCCTTCAAGGTTTTATCCTGGAATATTCGCTTTTTCACCTTTGGCCTCAATGAGCTTACGATAGTTCATTTCCAGAATGGACAAAAACAGTGTTTCCAAATTACTGAATGAAAGGAAACGTTTGTCTCTGTGATGTGAATGCACACATCACAAAGCAGTTTCCAGATAGCTTCTTTCTAGATTTTATCTTGTGATATTTGCTTTTTCATCATTGACATCAGTGAGCTCCAAAATATCCATTCACAAAATGGACAATAACAGTTTTTCCAAACTGCTGAATCAAAAGAAAAGTTTAACTCTGTGAGATGAATGCACACACCACAAAGCAGTTTCTTAGAGAGCTTCTTTCTAATTTTCATCTGAATATACTTTGTTTTTCACTATAGGCCTCAATGTGTTCCCAAATATCCCTTTGAAGGTTCTACAAAAACAGTGTTTCCAAATTGCTGAATGATAGAATTTTTTTAACTCTGTGAGATGAATTCACACATCACTAAGCTGTTTCACTGAAATCTTCTTTCTGGTTTTTATCTGAATATATTTTCTTTTTCACTGAAGGCCTGAATGTGCTCCCTAAGATCCCTTCACAGATTCTACAAAAACCGTGCTTCCAAACTACTGAATAAATATAAAGGTTTAATTCTGCCAAACGAATGTGTACATCACTAAGTTATTTCTCAGATATCTTCCTACTGGTTTTTATCCTGGGATATTAACTTTTTCACCATTGGCCTCAATGAGCTCCCAAGTGTTCATTCACAGAATGGACAAAAACAGAGTTTACAAACTGCTCAATCAAAAATAGTTTAACTCTGCAAGATGAATGTTCACATCATAAAGCGGGCTCTCAGATAGATTCCTTCCAGTTTTTAACCTTGGATATTCACTTTTTTGCCATGGGCCTCAAAGAGCTCCCAAATGTCCATTTGCAGAATGGACAAAAAGTGTTTCTGAACTGCTGTATCAAAAGAAAGGTTTAACTATGTGAGATGAATGCACACATCACATTATGGTTTCTAAGGCAGCTTCCTTCTTGTTTTTATTCTGGGATATTCACTTTTTCGCCATTGTCCTCAATGAGCTCCCAAATGTCCATTTGCAGAATGGACAAAGACAGTGTTTGAAAAGAGCTGTATGAGAAAAAGTTTTAACTATGTGAGATAAATCCACATGTCACAAAGCAGTTTCTCAGAAAGTTTCTTTCTAAGTTTATTTGAAGATATATTCTTTTTCACCATATACCTCAATGCATTTCCAAATATCCTTACACAGATTCTACAAAAACAGTGTTTCCAAACTGCTAAATGTAAAGAAATGTTTAACACTGACTTATGAATGCACACATCATGAAGCAGTTTCTCAGATAGCTTCCTTCCAGTTTTCATCCTGGGATATTTGCTTTTTTCACCATTGGCCTCAATGAGCTCCCAAAAGTGCATTCACAGAATGGACAAACACAGTGTCTCCAACTGCTGAATCAAAAGAAAAGTTTAACTGTGGGAGGCAGTTTGCACACAATGCAAACTGGTTTCTCAGTTTGCTTCCTTCTAGTTTTTACTGTGGGATACTCACTTTTTTGCTATTGGCCTCAATGTGCTCCCAAATGTCCATTGGCAGAATGGACAAAAACAGTATTTCCAAACTGCTGAATCTAAAGAAAGGTTTTACACTGTGAGATGAATGCACACCTCACAAAGCAGTTTCTCAGAAAACTTCTTTCTAGTTTTCAACTGAACGTATTTTCTTTTTCACCATAGACCTCAATGCACTCCAAAATACCCCTTCCCAGATTGTACAAAAACAGTGTTTCCAAAGTGATGTATCAAAAGAAAGGTTTAACTGTGGGAGATGAATGGACACATCACAAAGTGGTTTCTAAGACAGCTTCCTTCCACTATTTATCCTGGGATAATTGCTTTTTCGCTATTGGACTGAATGAGCACTCAGATATCCATTCGCACAATGGACAATCACGGTGTTTCCAAACAGCTGAATCAAAAGAAAGGTTTTTCTCTGTTAGATGAATGCACACATCACAAAACGGTTTCTCAGACTGCTTTATTGTAGTTTTTATCATGGGATATTCAATATTTTGATGTTGGCCTCAATGAGTTCCCAAATGTCCGTTCACAGAATGGACAAAAACAGTGTTTCAAAACAGCTGAATCAAAGAAAGTTTAACTCTGTGAGATGAATGCACATATCAGAAAGCAGTTTCTCAGAAAGCTTCTTCTAGTTTTTATCTGAATTTACTTTATTTTCACCATAGACCTCAAGGTGCTCCCAAATATCCCTTTGCAGATTATACAAAAACAGTGTTTCCAAACTGCTGAATGGAAAAAAAAAAGGTTTAACTCTGTGGGATGAACGTACCCTTTGTGAAGCGGTGTCTCAGATATATTTCTTCTAGTTTTTTTCCTGGGATGTTCACTTTTTTGCCATTGGCCTCACCGAGATCCCAGTGTTCATATGCAGAATTGACAAAAAGAGTGTTTCCAAACTGCTGAATCAAAAGAATGGTTTAACTCTATGAGATGAATGCAAACTTCACAAAGCAGTTTCTCAGAAAGCTTCCTTCTAGTTTTTATCTGAAGATATTTTCTTTTTCACCATAGTCCTCAATGAGCTTCCAAATATCAAATTGCATATTCTTTAAAAACAGTGTTTCCAAACTGCTGAATGAATAGAAAGGTTTAGCTCTGTGAGGTGAATCCACACATGACAAAGTGGATTCTCAGATAGCTTCCTTCTATTTTTTATCATGGGAGATTTTATTTCTGACCATTGGCTTCAATGATCTCCCAAATGTCCATTCACAGAATGGACAAAATCAGTTTTTCCAAACTACTGAATCAAAAGAAAGGTTTAGCTCTCTGAGAGGAATGCACACATCACAAAGCAGTTTCTCAGAAAACTTCTTTCTGGTTTTTTTCTGAAGACATTTTCTTTTTCACAATAGGTCTCAATGCACTCCCAAATATCCCATCACAGATTTTTTAAAAATAGTGTTCCAACTGCTGAAAGAATAGAAAGGTTTAACTCTGTGAGATGAAGGTACACATGACAAAGCAGATTCTCAGACAGCTTCCTTCGAGATTTTATCCTGGGATATTTGCTTTTTCACAATTGGCCTCAATGAGCTCCCAAATGTCCATTTACCCAACGGAGAAATACAGTTTCCAAACTGCCGAATCAAAAGAAAGGTTTAAATTTGTGAGATGAATGCGCACCTCCCAAAGCAGTTTTTCAGAAAGCTTCTTTCTAGTTTTCATCTGAAGATATTTTCTTTTTCACCATAGGCCTCAATACTCTCCCAAATATCCCTTCACAGATTCTACAGAAACAGTGTTTCCAAACTGCTGAATGAAAAGAATGGCTTCACTCTGTGAGACTAATGCAGACATCACAAAGCAGTTTCTGAGATAGCTTCCTTGTAGTTTTGATCCAAGCATATTCATTATTTCCATTGGCCTCAATGAGCTCCCAAATATACATTCACAGAAATGGACAAAAACAGTGTTTACAAATTTTTGTATGTAAAGAGAGGTGTAACCGTGTGAGAGGAATTTATACATAACAAAGCAGTTTCTCAGAAAGCTTCTTTCTGGTTTTTATCTGAAGATATTTCTTTTTTCACCATAGTCCTCAATGCACTTCTAAAAGTCCCTTTGCAGATTCTAAAATATACTGTTTCAAAACTGCTCACTGAAAAGAAAGGTTTAACTCTGAGGGATGAATGCACATATCACAAAGTGGTTTCTAGATAGCTTCCTTCTAGTTTTTATCCTGGGATATTTTCTTTTTCACCATTGGCATCAAAAAGCTCCCAAATATCCATTCACAGAAGGAACAAAAACAGTATTTCCAAACTGCTGAATCAAAAGAAATTTTTATTTCTGAGAGTTGAATGCACACATGACAAAGCAGTTTCTCAGAAATCTTCTTTATTGTTTTTATGTGAAGATATTTTATTTTTCACCATAGGACTCAATGCTCTCCCAGATAGCCCTTTGCAGATCCAGAAAAGCATTGTTTCCAAATTGTTGAATGAAAATAATGGTTTAATTCTGTGAGATGAATGAACCAATCACAAAGTGGTTTCTCAGATAGCTTCCTTCTAGTTTTCATTCTGGGATGTTCACTTTTTTCAACGTAGGCTTCAATGCAACCCCAAATACCCCTGTGCAGATTCCACCATTCTCGTGCAGAAACCATCATTCTCAGCCAACTATCACAAGGACAGAAAACCAAACACTGCATGTTCTCACTCATAGGTGCGAATTGAACCATGAGAACGCTTGGACACAGGAAGGGAAACATCACACACCAGGGCCTGTCATGGGGACGGTGGAGGGGGCAGGGATAGCATTAGGAGATATACTTAATATAAATGATGATTTAACGGGTGCACACACCAACATGGCACATGTATACATATGTAACAAACCTGCACATTGTGCACTTGTGCCCTAGATCTTAAAGTAAAATTTAAAAAGAGAACAGAAAGGTTTAATTCTCTGAGATGAATGCACACATCTCAAAGTGGTTTCTCAGACATCTTCCTTCTAGTGTGTATCCTTTGATATGTGCTTTTTTGCCATTGGCTTCAATGCGCTCCCAAATGTCCATTGACAGAAAGGAAAAAGTGGTGTTTCCAAACTGCTGAATGAAAAAAAAGTTTAATTTTGTGAGATGACTGCATACATCACAAAGAGGATTCTAAGATAGTTTCCTTCTAGTTTTTTCTGGGGATATTTTCTTATTTGCCATCGGCCTCCATGAGCACCCAAATGTCCATTTGCAGAATGGAGAAAAACAGTGTTTCCAAACTGCTGAATCAAATGAAAGGTTTAACTCTGTAAGACAATTTATGTGCACACATCAGAAAGCAGTTTCTCAGAAATCCTCTTTCTAGTTTTTAATCTGAATTTATTTTCTTTTTCACCATAGGCTTGAATGTGCTCCCATATGTCCCTTTGCAGTTACTACAAAAACAGTGTTTCCAAACAGCTGAATGAAAATGAAAGTTTAACTCTGTGAGATGAATCCAAACATTGCAATGTGGTTTCTCAGATAGCTTCCTTCTAGTTTTTATTTAGGGATATTTGCTTTTTTGTCATTAGCCTCAATAAGCTCCAAAAAGTCCATTCAAAGAATAGGCAAAAATAGTGTTTCTAAACTGCTGAGTGAGAATGGTTTAACTCTGTGAGATGAATGCACACATCACAGAGGAGTTTCTCAGGAAGTTTAGTTCCAGTTTTTACCTGAAGATATTTTCTTTTTCACCATAGGCCTCAATGTGCTCCCAAATATCCCTTCACAGATTCTAGATAAACAGTGTTTCCATAATGCTGAATGAAAAGAAAGGTTTAACTCTGTGAGATGAAGGCACACATCAAAAATCAGTTTCTCAGAAAGCTTCTTTCTAGTTTTTACATAAAGGTATTTTCTTTTTCACCATAGGCTCCCAAATATACCTGTGCAAGTTTTACAAAAACAGTGTTTGCCAACTGCTGAATGAAAAGAAAGTTTAACTCTGAGAGATGAATGCACACATCTCAAAGTGGTTTCTCAGATAGTTTTCTTCTAATTTCTATCTTGGGATATTTGCTTTTTTTGCCATTGACCTCAATGAGCTCTCAAATACCCATTCACAGAATGGACAAAAAAACAGTGTTACAAATTGCTAAGTCAAAAGAAATGTCTAACTCTGTGAGTTGAATGGACAAATCACAAAGCAGTTTCTCAGAAAGCTTCTTTCTACTATTTATATGAATACAGTCTCTTTTTCACCATAGCCTCAATGCACTCCCAAGTAACCCTTTGCAGATTCTTCAAAAACAGTTTTTCCAAACTCCTGAATGAAAAGAAAAGTTAAAATCTGTGAGGCAAATGCACACATCACAAAGGAGTTTCTCAGAAACTTTCTTTATTTTTGTTGTGTGAAGATATTTTCTTTTTCAACATAGGCCTGTATGCCCTCCCAAGTATCACTTTGAAGATTCTACAAAACAGCCTTTCAAAACTGCTGAATGAAAAGAAAGGTTTATCTGTGTGAGATGAATGTGCACACCACAAAGGGGTTTCTCAGATAGCTTCATTCTATTTTTTATCCTGGGATATTCGTTTTTTCACCAGTGGCCTCAAAGATCTCCAAAATGTCCATTCAAAGAATGGGCAAAAACAGGGTTTCCCAATTGCTCAGTAAAAAGGAAGTTTTAACTCTGTGAGATGAATGCACACATCACAAAGCAGTTTCTCAGATAGCTTCCTTCTAGTTTTTATCTGAAGATATTTTCCTTTGCAACATAGGCCTCAATATGCTCCCATATATTCTTTGGCATATTCTACATAAACAGTGTTTCCAAACTGCTGAATGAAAAGAAAAGTTTAACTCTTTGAGGTTAATGCACACAACACAAAGTGGGTTTTTAGACAGCTTCATTCTAATTTTTTTCCTGAGATATTCAGTTTTTCACCACTGGCTTCAATGAGATTCAAAATGTCCATTCACAGAATGGACAAAAACAGAATTTTTAAACTGCTGAACTGAAAGAAAGTGAAACTCTATGAGATGAATGCACACATCACCAAGCAGTTTCTCATAAAGCTTCTTTCTAATTTTTATCTGAAGATATTTTCCTTTTCACCATAGGCCTCAATGTGCTCCCAAATATCCCTTTCCTGATTCTTCAAAAATAGGGTTTTTAAAATGCTGAATGAAAAGAAAGGTTTATCTCTGCAAAATGAAGGCACACATCACAATGCCTTTTCTCTGATATCTTCTTTCTTGTTTTTATCCAGGGGTATTCACTTTTCTGCTATTGGCCTCCATGAGCTCCCAAATGTTCATTCACAGAATGGACAAAAACAGTGTTTCCAAACTCCTGAAGGAAAAGAAAGGTTTAAATCTGCGAGATGAATGCACACATCAAAAAACCGTTTCTGAGACAGCTTCCTTCTAGTTTTTATCCTAGGATATGCTTTTTCACCACTGGCCTCGAACTCCCAAATGTCAATTTGCAGAATGGACAAAAACTGTGTTTTGAAACCACTGAATCAAAAGAAAGTGGTAACTCCGTGAGATGAATGCATGCATCAAAATGCTGCTTCTCAGAAAGCTTCTTTCTAGTTTCTATCTGAAGATATTTTCAACCTAGGTCTATATGGGCTCCCAAATATCCCTTCGCAGATTCTTTAAAACAGCGTTTCCAAACTGCTCAAAGAAAAGAAAGGTTTAACGCTGCATGTTGAATGCACACATCACAATGCAGTTTCTCAGACAGCTTTCTTCTAATTTTTATTCTGGGATATTCACTTTTTTTTGCTTTTGTCCTGAATGAGCTCCCAAACGTCCATTTGCAGAATTGACAAAAACAGTTATTCCAAACTGCTGAATCAACAGAAAGTTTTAACTCTGTGAGATGAATGCACACATCACAAAGCAGTTTCTCAGAAAGCTTCTTTCCAGTTTTTATCTGAAGATATTTTCTTCTTCACCTTAGGCCTCAATGTACACACAAATAGTCCTGCACAGATTCTACAACAGTGTTTCAAAACTGCAGCATGAAAAACAAAGGTTTAAATCTGTGGGACAAATGCACACATCACAATGTGGTTTCTCAGATAGATTTATTCTAGTTTTTATCCTGGGATATTAGCTTTTTCACCACTAGCCTCAATGAGCTTCCAAATGACCATTCATAGAAAGGATGAAAACAGTGTTTCCAAAGTGCTGAATCAAAAGAAAGGTTTAACTCTGTGAGACGAATGCACACATCACAAAGTGGTTTCTCAGAAAGGTTCCTTCTAGTTTTTATCTGAAGATATTTTCTTTTTCACCATAGGGTGCAACATACTCTCAAATATCCCTTCACCAATCGTACAAACACAGTGTTTCCAAAATGCTGAATGAAAAGAAAGGTTTAACTTTGTGAGGTGAATGCACACATGACAAAATAGTTTCTCAGATAGCTTTCTTGTAGTTTTTAACCTGGGATATTCCCCTTTTTCCATTTTCCTCAATGAGCTCCCAATTGTCCATTTGCACATTGGACAAAAAATGTGTTCCCAAACTGCTGAATCAAAAGTATGGTTTAACTCTGACCTGAATGTACACATCACAAAGTTATTTATCAGGTAGTTTCCTTCTAGTTTATATCCTGGGATATTTGCTTTTCCACCACGGGCTTCAATGAGCTTGCAAATTTCCATTCCCAGAAGGGACAAAAACAGTGTTTCCAAACTGCTGTATGAAAAGGAAAGGTAAAGTCTGTAAGATGAATGCACACGTCACAAAGCAGTTTCTCAGAAAGCTTCTTTCTAGTTTTTATGTGAAGATGATTTCTGTTTCACCATAGGCCTCAAAGTGCTCCCAAATATCCCTTTGCAGATAACTGCTGATTTAAAAGAAAGATTTAACTTTGCAAGATGATTGCACACATCACAAAGCAGTTTCTCAGATAGATTTTTTTTAGTTTTTATCCAGGGATATTCACTTTTTCACAATTGGTCTCAATGAGATTCCAAATGTCCATTCACAGAATGGACAAAAACAGTGTTTCCAAACTACTCTATCAAAAGAGAGGTTTAGCTGTGAGAGGAATGTACACCTGTCAAAGCAGTTTCTCAGAAAGCTTCTTTCTAGTTTTTATCTGTATTTTCTTTTTCACCATAGTCTCAAAATTCTCCCAAATATGCCTTCGCATATTCTACAAAATCATTGTTTCCAAACTGCTTAATGAAAAAAAAGTTTAACTTTGCGAGGTGAATGCATACGTAACAAAGTATTTTCTCAGATAGTTTCCTTCTAGTTTTTGTGTCTGGATATTTGCTTTTTCTCCAGTGGCCTCTATGATCTCCCAAATGTCCACTCACAGAAAAGACAAACTGGTGTTTCCAAACTGCTGCATCAATGGAAAGTTTATCTCTGTGAGATGAATGCACACATCAAAAAGCAGTTTCTCAGAAAGCTTCCTTCTACTTTTTATCTGAAGATATTTTCTTTTTCACCATTGGCCTCAATGCACTCCAAAATATCCCTTTGCTGATTTGACAAAAACAGCATTTCCAAACTACTGAATGAAAATAAAGGTTTAACACTGTAAAATGAATGCACACTTCATAATGCCATTTCTCAGATAATTTCTTTCTAGTTTTTTTCCTCGGATGTTTGCTTTTTTGCCTTAGCTCTCAATGCCCTCCCAAATATCTCTTTGCAGATTCTACAAAAACAGTGTTTCCAAACTGATGAATGAAAAGAAAGGTTTAATTCCGTGAGATAAATGCAGACATCACATAACGGTTTCACAATAGCTTCGTAGTAGTTTTTATCCTCAGATATTCACTTTTTCACCTTTGGACTCAATGAGCTCCTAAATGTCCATTCACAGAATGCACAAAAAAGTGTCTCCAAACTGCTGAATCAAGAGTAAGTTTTCACTCAGTGAGATGAATGCACACATCACAAAGCAGTTTCTCAGAAAGCTTCTTTTCGTTTTTATCTGAATATATTTTCTTTTTCACCCTAGGCCTCAACGTACACCCTAATATTACTTGGCAGATTCAACAAAAACAGTGTTTCCAAACTTCTGAATGAAAAGAAAGATTTAACTCTGAGAGACGAATGCTGACTTCACAAAGGGGTTTCTCAGATAATATCCTTCCAGTTTTCTTCCTGGGGTATACAGTTTTTCACAAATGGCATCAGTGAGTTCCCTAATGTCCATTCCCAGAATGTACAAAAACAGTGTTTCCAAACTGCTGAATCAAAGGAAAGGTTTAACCCTGTGAGAGGAATGCACACCTCTTTAAGCAGTTTCTCAGGAAACTTCTTTCTAATTTTTATCTGAAGATATTTCCTTTTTCACCACAGGCCTCAATGCACTCGCAAATATCCCTTCACAGATTCTACAAAAACAGCATTCCCAAACTGCTGACTGAAAAGGAAAGTTTACCTCTGCCAGGTGAATGCACACATCGAAAAGCGGTTTCTCAGACAGCTTCACTCTTGTTTTTATCCTGGGATATTCGCTTTTTTGCCATTGGCCCCAATGAGCTCCAAAATGTCCTTTCACAGGAAGAACAAAAGCAGTGTTTCCAAACTGCTGAATAAAAGAAGGGTTTAAATCAGTGAGATGAATGCACACATCACAAAGCAGTTTCTCAGATAGCTTCCTTCTAGTTTTTATGCTGGGGTATTTTATTTTTCACCATTGGCCTCAATGAGCTCAAAAATGGCTATTTCCAGAATGGACAAACACAGTGTTTCCAAAATCCGGAATCAAAAGAAAGGTTTAACTCTGTGAGATGAATGCACACGTCACAAAGCAGCTTCTCCAAAAGCTTCTTTCTAGCTTTTATCTGAAGATATTTTCTTTTTCACCATAGGCCTCAATGCACTCCCAAATATCCCTTTGCAGATTCTACAAGAAAAGTGTTTCTATACTGCTGAATGAAAAGAAGGGTTTAACTCTGTGAGATGAATGCACACATCACAAAGCGGTTTCTCAGATACCTTGTTTCTTGTATTTATCCTGGGATAATTGCTTTTTTGCCATTGACCACAATGAGCTCCCAAATGTCCATTTGCAAAATGGACAAAAACACTGTTTTAAACCCCTGAATGAAAGCAAAGTTTTAACTCTGACAGATGAATGCACACATAGCAAAGCGGTTTTGCAGATAGCTTCCTTCTAGTATTTATCCTGGGATTTTTTTTTTTTTTTTGCCTTTGCCCTTAATGAGCTCTCAAATGTCCATTCGCAGAATGGACATAAACAGTGCTCTCAAACTGCTGAATCTAAATAAAGTTTTAACATTTCGAGATGAATGCACACATCACAAAGCAGTTTCTCAGAAAGATTCTTTCTAGTTTTTATCTAAAGATATTTTCTTTTTCACAGTAGATCTCAGTGCACTTCCAAATAGCCCTTCAGAGAATCTACAAAATCAGAGTTTCCAAACTGCTGAATGAAAAGAAATGTTTAAATTTGTGTGATGAATGCACACATCACAAAACCATTTCTCAGATAGTTTCATTCTAATTTTTACACTGGGATATTCTCTTTTTCACCATTGGCCTCAATGAGCTCCAAAATGTTCATTTGCAGAATGGACAAAAACAGTGTTTCCAAACTGCTGAATCAAAAGAAAGGTTTCAGTCTGCAAGATGAATACACACATCACAAAGCAGTTTCTCAAAAAGTTTCTTTCTAGTTTTAATCTGAAGATACTTACTTTTACCCCTTAGGCCTCAATGTGCTCTCAAATATCAATTTGCAGATTCTACAAAAACAGTGTTTCCAAACTGCTGTATGAAAATAAAGGTTTCACTCTGTGAGTTGAATGCACACATCACAAAGTGGTTTCTCAGATAGCTTCCTTCTAGTTTTCATCCTTGGATATTTGCTTTTTTGCCATTGGTCTCAATGATCTCCCAAATGTCTATTCGCAGAATGCAGAAAAACAGTGTTTTGAAAGTGCTAAATCAAAAGTAAGGTTTAACTTTGTCAGGTGAATGCACACATCACAAAGCAGTTTCTCAGAGAGCTTCTTTCTACTTTTTATCTGAAGATATTTTCTTTTTCACATAGGCATCAAGGCGCTCCCAAATATCCCTTCACACATTCTACAACAAAAGTGTTTCCAAACTGCTGTGTTACAAGAAAGGTATAACACTGCAAGATGAATGGACACATCACAGAGCAGTTTTTCAGTTGGTTTCTTTCTACTTTTTATCCTGGGCTATTTGCCTTTTTGTCATTGTCCTCGAAAAGTTCCCAAATGTCCTTTCTCTGAATAGGCCATTGAAGCAAGCAATTAGCCTTATGAGGAAAGAGTTACCTGTGGATAAAGGAGAAACTGAAAAATTCACAAGTCAAGACTTTTTGAGCAAAAACAAAAATATGACTATTAGTCACCAATTCAGTACAGTGAAAAAAAAGTTGAAGAGATATCTTGGAAGTAAACCATGTTGTGGAAGAGCATGTAGGGTTTTGATAATCATGGGATGATTCTGAATTAATTTTAAATGCGATAGGAATATATGAGACAATTTCACCAGAGAATAACATGATTGTGTTTGCATTTCAAAGGGGTGTATCTGGTGCACTGTGTAGAATAAATAGGTTATGTGAGCAAATAAATTGGGAGGCTACCGTAATCCCAAGAAAAAAGGTAGTGACTTAGGTGAGAATGCTGTCAGGATGAGTGGTAGTAGTGGTGAGGAGTCGTTAGGCCATGGATGTATTTCATAGGACTGGCCAAGAGAACTGCAGCTAAATTGGAGTGTAGGGAGTGAAATGGAGAACTCAAAGACGGCTCTCAGCAGTGGAAGGTGACAGCTGTCACTGAAGCATGCTGATGCCTCTCATTAAGAGAGTTACTTGGGAATGGCAAGATCAAAATTTCTCACTTTCAAATTTATGAAAAATATTGTTTTCAGAACGAATGATTTTGGGATCAGAAAGCCACCATTCTAATTGATGGTTCCACGACTGCACAGGCTCACACTCCCAAGAGCAAAAGTAAATCATCATAAAGGTGCTTCCTGATAATTCTAGAGAATGGAGAATTACTGTAACATCTTTCTGATTTTAGGAGAGGTAGCAGTTCCCTTTTTAGCCTAAACGCTATTTTTTTTAAAGCTCAGCCAAGAGACTCCATTATAATTTTCAAATGTGTGTAACTTAAATTCTCATATGAAATACCACTATGCTTAAATTAGTCAAAACATTTTTCCCATCTACAACTCTATCTTGTCATTGCAATCATTTTCACAAAAGTGACTGCAGCTCACAGACCCTAAAAGGAGAAAATCCAGGGTAGGTTATCTGATCTAGTTAGTTTCGAAGACAGGATCTAGAGATTATTTAATATGAAATAGGTCACCTGAAATGAAGTGTTTACTGAAAACAGCTTGGATCAGCCCAGTTTTCTACCACTGAACCATGCATTTGGTTTAAAAAACACAACAACTCTGGGGAATATCAGCTGCTTCCAACTGTGTTGAAGGTGTTAAAGAAAAGAGCATAAAATTAAAAATGGTCATCTGAGGCCTTTATAGTCTCTGCTCAAGAGACTAGAGTCTTCCATTCTTAATGAAACACCCTAATATCTTAATAATTGGGCAAAATCTAAATATCAGAGATAATTTTATCTTGAAGATTGTTAAATTATAATGGCGATTCACTACCTTGTCACGTCTCTGAGTCAAAAATTAGGTCTTTGTTTAGGAATCAATGGTACTCTGCAACTTGGAAATAGGAAGATTTTAGAAGACTCAAACATTGACTTTCTTGTGGGCAAAAAAAAGACGTATTGAGATAAGACAAGTCTTTCCTTGCAAGGATACCTCTAATGCTCATACACCACCTCCCCTAACATTAATATAGCTTCCAGGTCACTAACCAGTGTCAGAGAGCAGCCCATGCAACTAGAAATTCAAAAGACGTCAAACACAGGGTCAAGCCTAGAATAAGAAGTCTTAGCTAATTAAGTATGCTTTTTTCCCCAAATTCATATTAACAAAAACTTGGATATGTCAGAGAATGCATTCTAAGTTCACTCAACCTAGGAGGGAGAAGCATAATTTTAAATTAAGAGCTGAAGCATTCTTGTCCTAACAGAAAGCAAGGAAAATGAAATATCACACCACAGGAGGGATTTCACAAATTAGTGTCAACATCAAAACCTTAAAATAGGCAAGGAGAATGCAGATTCACAATGAACTCTTGTACTTGTTTTGTTCAGAGAAGAGATGGTTCTGAGAGAATGACAGTGAACTAACCCCAGCTGGTTTAGTTGGTGCTTTCAACTGCTGCTTCTGATAAACTCCTTTAGCTAGAATAAATTGATGAGGATTTTGGCATGTGGTATTAGAGATGGTTATTAATTTTTTCCTCTTATTTGCATTGTTCATTGTAGTAAATACTAGCTGTATATGGCTACTTCAATTCAAATTAATTACAATGAAATATACTTAAATATTGAATTTTTTAGTCACTGTTGGTTCATTATTGAATATCTTCAGCTAAGATTTCCCTTTAAATACACTAAGAGGTGGCTTAGTTAACTCGTCGTCCACAAATATTGAAGCTGTTGTTAACTCCTGATATATTCTCTGCAAAGAGAATATTCATGAGCCTCCTCCTGAAGCCAGCAGCCTAGAGATAGTTTTATAAATTGGATACAAGTTGGAAACCTATACTCTTTAAGTTTTTGAAATATTAGCTTCCCAGGGAAGAAAATCAAATTCATAAGATATGTTAGGACAATTTAACTCAAGATGTTCAAAACTGAAATGACATATTCTACAATATGTGATAAAACCACCCCCTAATACCTTAAAGCAAAACAGGGATGGACCTTAAAGACCTGCCTTTTCCTCATCCCCCAGCCAATCAGTTTTCAAATCTTGCATTTTATTTTGAAAGGTCCTTATCCCCCTGGTCTCTTGTTTCTAGACTTGGCACATATTTAAGTTTGTTACCTCTATCTACTGAATTTTCTCTCTTCAAACAGTATCTATGCCTGCCAAATGTGAACATACAAACAACAAATCAGAATGTGCCATTCTGATTTAAACTGCTTATTAGTTAATACCCTCAAGATAACATCTGGGTTCTTAGCTGCAATGAGTCAAGCTTACTTACATCTTTTTTTGTCTTTGGCTGCACATTTCCTATCACATCACACTCCAGCAACGCCAAGCTGTGCCGGCCTTCTACCCCATCTCCACTATTTTGCCCTCCGCTGCCGCGGCTTTTTGCCCGCCCTGGCTTTTTGCCCCCACCCGCCGCCGCGGCTTTTGGCCCCCCACACCGCCGCGGCTCTTTACCCGCCGCAGCTTTTTGCCTCCACCCCGCCTCAGCTTTTTGCCCGCCAAGGCTTTTTGCCTCGCCGCGGCTTTTTGCCCTCCACCCCGCCGACGCGGCTTTTTACCGCCGCGGCTTTTTGCCCGCCGCGGCTTTTTGCTCCCGCCGCCGCGGCTTTTTGCCCCTGCCGCCGCGGATTTTTGCTGCTGCGGCTTTTTGCTCCCGCCACCTTTGCAACCTTAATTTCACTTGAAATCTAATTTCCCACTGCCATGCCATCTAACATATTTGTATGTTAGACTCTGGGAATTAGGACATGAACATTTTTGGGGGGCCACTATTTTGTCTACAGCAGACAGAATCTACACTGCCTGGGAGGCGCAGAGTATCTTGGGGGAGGCAGGGCTGGCCCTTCCCTCCGTGGACACCCAGCTTTCCCACAGGCCCTACATGTCTGTGGGTTCCCTGCGTGACCAGGTGACCTACCCGGACTCAGTGGAGGACATGCGAAGGAAGGGCTACTCAGAGCAGGACCTGGAAGCCATCCTGGACATCATGCACCTGCACTACATCCTGCAGCGGGAGGGAGGTAGGAGGCCTGGGGCTAGCAGCCGCCCTTTGTCCCACCCTGGCCTCTCCCTTGGCCTCCAGGCAGTGAAGATTATCTCAACATCCAGGAGTCTAAAGTGCCAGGTGCCACAGGGGCAGGGCAGAGGGTGCTACCTCTGAGGCCCGCCTACCAGGGAGGACCAACACCACACAGATGGCCCCAGCTGGCATGGGTGCTCTAGGGAAGGGGGCACCTAGCAGGGATGCGCACCTCATTGGGGGACCCAGGATACCCTCTCCCAGAGAAAAGGGGTCTGAGCTGAGCCCTGCAGAATGCTGAGTGGTTACCCCGTCCAGGAGCCAGGGGCAGCAGGGCAGAGTGCGGCCCGCAGGCTTGGTGGTGTGAGAGGCTGGCTCACAGAGGGCCCTCCGGACCAGGCGGGAGCCTAGGCTTTCCCTGAGCGGGATCAGACGCTCTTGGAAAGACCATGGGGCGGTGGGCAGGGGCAGCTTGGGAGGGGTAGGCACATGTGTGCAGTGATGGCTACCGTCAGGAGGTCTGTGCAGAAGCTTGGAGGGGGCTGGGGCCAGCAGAGTCGGGTGGATTCAGAGATGAGTTCACTGAAAAGGAGGCCAGCCTGAGCTGTTTTCTTGTCCTGGGCTTATCAAGGAATACTGCTTGTCCACAGTGTCTGTCGGGCCGGGAGAACGGAGGAGGAGAGGGGGGTGCAGCTACAGGGACACAGTAGATGGAGCGTTCAGTTCTGTCTTTGAATTCTGAGCCTCTGGGTTCTGCTTCCAGCCCCCACTGCTGGGTGTGAGATGGCCCTGGGCAAGGACCTCGCCTTGCTGGGGCTCCCCTTCATGGTTCAAGGGCATGGGCACCAAGCCCTCCCTCGGTGGCAACATGAGAAGAAGTGGCTCCTGCAGGAAATGACCAGGGTGTTGTCACCTGCCTGTGGAGGAAGCGGGAACACAGGTGGCGATGGTGGTGGAACAGCCCCTGGCCCGGCCCTGCCTCTTGCTCCTGCTGCCTTCGGCCTGGGAGCACATGGCCCCTCCCGCCTCTGTGGCAGCCTGAATGCCCAGGGCCTGTGGCCGGCCAGCATGAGCCGTTAGGATGGAGTTGAGCTGCGAGGAACAGAACCGGCCTCCCTGCAGTAGTGGCTAAGATCATCTGTGAGTTTATCCTACTGAGCTGTTAGGTCCCAAGAGAGCCAGGCCACAGTTGCCAGGGCTGGCCCTGCTCTGTGAAGGCCCCAAGGCTCTAGGATTTTCTACCATGTCACTCTGCTGTGTGTGGCCTCCATTCCCAAAGTCACCTCATGATCCAAGAGGGCTGCTGCAGCCCTCACATCATGTCCCAGGCTATAGGATGGAGGAAGTAGAAGGGAAGGGGCAAAAGGTATGTGCCTTCTATCTTTTAAGGAAGGTTCCAGAAGCCGCCATATTGAATAGTTACGGTTATATCTCATTGGCCACAACTTAGTCTCATGCTTACACCTCACCACAAGGCCACCTGGGAAGTGTAATCTCTACTCTGGGTGGCCATATACCCTGTCGCCACTTCTAGCCCTGGGCTGCTGGGGAAGGCAGCATGGGTGAGAAGACAGGAGGGGCTACTTCTGACACAGCGCCCCGGCCTAATGGAGCAGCCAGCTCACCTGCTCGTTCAAGCAGCCCACTCGAGCCTTGCCAAAGTGCTGGCACGGGGCAGTGACAGGAGGCCCAACCCCTGTGGGTGACAAGCCCCCGGTCTGGGGAGAGCACTCAGGCCGCTCTGGAGCTCTGTGCCAAGAAACTGTATGGGTGTCCTGGGGCTGCCATAAACCACAGGGGTGGATCATCTCCTGGATCCAGCAGCCCGAGATCCTGGTACTAGCAGGGTGGGTTCCTTCCAGGTGCCATGACAGAAGGATGTGTTCCAGGCCTCTGTCCTTGGCTCGCAGATGGTCCACTTCTCCCTGTGTATCTTCACCTCGTGTTCCCCTGTGCACGTCCTCTGCCCGCACACCCCCTTTTTATGAGGACATAGTCATATTGAATTAGGGTCTGCTCTGATGACCTCATCTTAGTGTGATCACCTCTGCGAAGGCCCTGTCTCCAAATAAGGTCACACTGAAGTGTTGGGGCTTGGACTCCACCATATCTCTTCTAGGGGAAGGCACAATTCCAGTCCCCACTCCTCCATGATTAATGTCTGTCAGACAGACAAGGGCGCATAGGCACAGGGGCCCTGTCGTCACAGCTAGCTCATTCCCACAGCTGCCCCAGCTCCCCGGCTGGCCCCCAGGTCTGGGTACTGGTGGAACTGAGCCAAGACCATTGCCCCTGCCTAGGTTAGGAGGCTATGTGTGACTGGAAGGACGTCCCGCCGGGTGGCGAGAAGCAGAGAATCGGCATGGCCCGCATGTTCTACCACAGGTGAGCACTCCAGGCCGGCAGGCTCCCTGGGGTCCCCTGGAAGGAGAAGTAGCAGCTGTGGGGAGGCCTGGGCTCAGTGAAGCCTGAGCCAGGCTGGGGTGTTGGGCCCTGGAGGATGCACAGACTCTCCTCTCGGCCCAGACCCCCAGGCCCAAGTACACCCTCCTGGATGAATGCACCAGTGCCGCCATGAGAATCAACGTGGAAGGCAAGATCTTCCAGGCGGCCAAGGACGCAGGCATTGCCCTGCTCTCCATCACCCACCGGCCCTCCCTGTGGTAGGTGCCCTGTCTCCCTGCCTGGGGTCAGTGGGAGTGGCTGCCTGAGGGGAGGAGGTGGCCTGTTGGGCCCGGCGGCAGCAGCAGGCGGCTGTCATCAGCAGCCCTCGTGCCATGCCCCTGACCCTGTCCCTCTCCTGGCCAGGAAGTACCACACACACTTGCTACAGTTCGATGGGGAGGGCGGCTGGAAGTTTGAGAAGCTGGGCTCGGCTGCCCGCCTGAGCCTGACAGAGGAGAAGCAGCGGCTGGAGCAGCAGCTGGCGGGCATTCCCAAGATGCAGCAGCACCTCCAGGAGCTCTGCCAAATCCTGGGCGAGGCCGCGGCCCCAGCGCACGTGCCGGCACCTAGCCCACAAGGCCCTGGTGGCCTCCAGGGTGCCTCCACCTGACACCACTCTCCCCAGCCCCTGCCCCGCCCCCAAGCTCGGATCACATGAAGGAGATAGCAGCACCCACCTGCGCACGCACCCCGCCCCTGCATGCCTGGCCCCTCCTCCTAGAAGACCCTTCCCGACCTCGGGAAAGTAGATGAGGAGGGTGGCGCCCTGCGTAACCCTCGCCCTGTCCCTCCCACTCCCTGGGGGGGGGGCTGTTCCACAGTTACTGGGCCCTGTCCAGGGCAGTGAGTCCTCTACTTTGCTCCGTGGAGGAAGCTGGAGTGCAAGGGGCCCAGTGCTGGCCGCACAGCAGCGCAGCCGAGCCCCAGGAGCCCCTCAGGCCACAGCCCCTGGCGCTGCAGGTGGCATCCCTCCTCGTCAGTCTCTCAAAGACCCCACGATCCATCCCTTGAGGGTGGCCAGCCAAGGCTCCCATCCCATGCGATGCCATAAAAGCCACCCAGTGGTACCCACAGTCACACAGAGCGCCTCACCGGCATCCTCTCCCCCACAAGAGCCCCGAAGATCCCACGGGAGAGGGACGCACAGCACTGCCTGCCAAGCGAGAATGTAGGCCCCGCCCCCTCGGCCCCTCACCTCCTCTTTCTACAGCCTAATTTATTGGATTCCCTATTTGTAGCCATCTCCGTGGCCAATGTGACTACCCTGCCAGCAGCGGGGGCTGCCCAGCCTCTGAGTCCCCTAGGGCCCCGGCTCCCACTGGTGTCAAACCCAGCCCCTGTGGCCGTCACCCCGCCAGCCTACACTGCCAGCCGCCACCTGACCACACGGGCCTCTGCTTGCTAGCCGGGAGTGCGGACACCATGTTCCCAGCTCAGTGCCAAAGAGGGGTCACCAGGCGGAGCTGTCTGCAGAGCCAGCGCCTTCCTGAGAGAGACCCCACCGCCACAGTGTGCCTTTCCCGGGCCCTCAGCCCTCAGGCCGGGCGCCATCCCGAGTCCCCCCCAGTAAAAGCCTCCATTGGCAAATGCAGTCCTTCCTCCCTGCCTCAGAGTCTGGTGGTGTCTGCTGCGGGTCTTGGGGTGAGATGGAGGAGAGGGAGTGGGTTGCCTGTGGGGGAAAGAGTGAGTTTGGGAAAGGAGTGGGCCTGATCCCCAAGCCCTTCCGTGGGGGAAAGTCACCAGAAGACATGGCCCAACATGCCCTCCACCGAGCCTCACGCCAATGTTCTTAGGATTCCTGTGACGGTGGCGGGGCAGAACCTGCAACAACATTGCACAGAAATACTGGCTGAGCCCAAATAGGACTAGGGGACGGGATCATGCTGGTCCCTGTGGGAGGAGCACGAAGGCAAGAGAAAGGATGTCTAAGCTGCCACACAGGGTGCTGCTGGCCCTTCTAGGGAGAGGAGGCCACTTGTGCAGGGGCCTGGGGGGAACTGGGAGCACATTGCAGGGTGTTCGTGCTGCATGCAGGGGAAGGGAGGGCAGGGGAAGGGAGGGCTGCAGCTGGCGGGCCTTGGAGGCCACACTACAGAGACAGGACTTAGCCCAGAGGCCACCGAGGAGCTTTCAGCAACAGGGAAGCAGTGTCGAGTACTGCAGGCCACTTGGCTGCATGTGAGGGTGGCTGGTGGGAATAGGGTGTGGCAGCCCATCTGGCCTCAGAGGCATGAGAACTGAGAACAGCTGTGCGGCCATACCTTTATGCATGGATGGCCATAGCCTCCCAAAGGTGGGACAGCCTGAGTATTCATCAACAGACAAATGGACAAACAGCCTGTCCATAAGGCGTGGTGCCATTCCACCATAACACGACGGATAGACCTCAAAGAGTTCGTTCTGGGTGAAAGAAGCCAGACACAAATGTCCAGAATAGGCTCATCGGGACAGAAAGCAGATGAGTGGGTGTCAGAGGCTGGGGCAGGGGAAGGAAAATGGGGCAGGGGCAGTCCTTTTTAAAAAATTTTGTATTTATTTTTTATTTTTTAATGAGACAGACAGGGCCTCACCGTGTCACCCAGGCTGGAATGCAGCGGTGCAGTCATAACTCACTGCAGCCTTGATCTCCCGGGCTCAAGCAATCCTGCCCCAGCCTCCTGAGTAGCTGGAACCACAGGCGTGTGCCACCATACCCTACTAATTTTGTGATTTTTTTTTTTTTGTAGACAGGATCTCACTATGTTGCCCAGGCTGGTCTCAAACTGCTGAGCTCAAGCGATCGTCCTGCCTCAGCCTCCCACAGTGCTGGATTACAGGCATGAGCCACCACACTCAGCCTCGCGTTTCTTTTTATTTCGAAGAAAATGTTCTGGAACTATAGAGCATACTAAATGCCACTGAATTGTGCACTTTAAAGGGATTGATTGTATATTTTGTGAATATCCCCTCAAAAACAGACAGATAGATGATTGATGGATAAATTGATACATAGATATATAGATATATAGACATGATATAGATAATTGATTGATAGATGATGGATGATTCATAGGTGCTAAGTGACAGATAAAATACATGATAGATACATGGATAGATAGATGAATAGAGAGCGATGATAGATGATTTAAAAATTTTTTTTAGAGATGAGATCTCACTATCTTGCCCAGTCTGGACTTGATCTGCTAGCATCAAGCAGTCCTCCTGCCTCAGCCTCCTGAGTTACTGGGACTACAGGCACATGCTACTGTGCCTGGTGATAGATAAATTATTGAAAGATAGACATGATAGAGGCATAAATGATAGATAGATGGATAAACATGATAAAGGGTAGATAGGAAGATACATGGGATAGATCAATGATTGATTATAGAAGTAAATTATATAGATTAATAGATTACTGATTATAGATTAATAGGTGGATAGCTGATTGATAGATGACTGATCGATTGATTGGTTGACTGACTGATGGAGAGAGACAGAGAAGCAAGCTTAGCCATTGCAGCCACCCAGACAAGACATGCTGAGGCCTGGAGTTCCAGAAGGTTTGAGCAGTTGGAAGAACTTGACAGGCATGGGGGCAGCTTCTTCAGGGAGTGGAGGGGGCAGCAAGGTACCACTGGGTTCTGGTTGGAAGGTTAGGTGAGCGACAGCACCCTTGGTGGACAGAGGCAGCTCCAAAGGAGGGGCAGGCCTGGGGAGCAGGTGCAGCCCGAGGGGATGGTGCGTAGGCAGTTGGTTCAGAGCTTGGGGCTCCTCAGTGGGACATGGGTCAGCAGGGAGGCCAGTGGTCATTGAAGTTTGGATGGAGACAGCCTGGCTGAGGGGAGGGGCATGCTTGGCATCTCATTTAGGGGACAGGAGGTAGACTGTTTACCTGTATTTTGAGATTAGGATTTATTCCTGATCCCAGGAGGTGGCTGATTCGGAGGGCTGGGAGTTGTTCTTCCATTTCTTTTGACGATTGTGTAAGTCGCCCATGCTTGGTCATAAGCCCCTTTTGTTTATTTTTGACACATACTTGGAATGGCTCTAATTACTACAGATAGAAGGAGACACATCTGGCAAAGACCATCCAAAAGGAAGCTAGTGGAGAGAAGCTCATATCGCACAAAGTAGGCTCCAGGGCAAAATCATTATTAGGATTAAAAGTGGTTGCAGCATACTGATGAGTATTCATTCCAAAGCATTCACTGGTGGGGGAGGGGTGGGGGAAAAAGAATAAATACATAAATAATTTAATTATTTTAAAAGAAGTATTAGTGGCCAGGCATGGTGGCTCACGCCTGTAATCCCAGCATTTTGGGAGGTCAAGGCAGGCAGATCACCTGAGGTCAGGAGTTCGAGACCAGCCTGAACAACATGGTGAAACCCCATCTCTACTGAAGTACAAAATTAGCCAGGCATGGTGGCTCATGCCTGTAGTCCCAGCTACTAGAGAGGCTGAGGCAGAACTGCTTGAACCTGGGAGGCGAAGGTTGCAGTGAGCCAGGATCATGCCATTACACTCCAGCCTGGGCGACAGGAAAAAAAAAAAATGGAAGCATTAGCCATTCTGATCTTGTGTGTGCCTGCATAACAATAGAGCCTCAAATGACTACAAAACAAAAAAGTGTCAAGAAAAGGAAAAATTAATAAATGAGCACATTCTCTACGCAGGAAATTATACCACTTCTCACTGGAACTGCTCGTTTAAGCAGACTCAATTAGGAAGAATATAGAAAAATTAGGCCAGGCATAGTGTTTCATGCTTGTAATCCCAACACTTTGGGAGGCGAAGGCAGGCAGATTACTTGAGGTCGGGAGTTTGGGACCAGCTTGGCCAACATGCTGAAACTAAAATAAAAAAATACAAAAATGAGCCAGATGTGGTGGCTCATGCCTGTAATCCCAGCTACTTGGGTGGCTGAGGCAGGAGAATCACTTGAACTTGAGGTTTCAGTGAGCTGAGATCGTGCCCCTGCACTCCAGCCTGGGCAACGGAGTGAGACTCTGTCAAAAAATAAAAATAAAAAAAAGAATATGGAAAAGTTGAACAAACTTGATTTAGTGGACACCCAAAAACTACAGACTACACATTGTTTTCAAGTTCACCTTGGACATTTACTAACACTCACCATGTCCTAGGCTGCAAAACAAGACTCAACAAATAGCAAAAGAACTTGCATCACACCAGCCATGTTCTTGATGCAACAGAATAAAGGCATAAATTGGCAACCAAACTAAAATTAAGGGCTCCCCTAGGTTTGGAAATTTAAAGATACACTACTGGCCAGGCACGGTGGCTCACACCTATAATCCCAGAGCTTCGGGAGGCCAAGGCAGGAGGATCCCTTGAGCCCAGGAGTTCCAGACCAGCCTGGGCAACACAGTGAGACCCCCCATCTCTATAAAACTAAATTAAATTATTTTTTAAATTAAAAAAAAATGCACTGGTCCGAGAAGAATTAGAATGAAAATCTAAAAGCATTTAGAACCAAACAATGAAAACTATGTACAAAAGCTTAAGCCATGTAGCCCAAGCAGTACTACAAGGAAACTAAAAAAAAAAAAGTGTGGCCAGGTGCAGTGGCTCACGCCTGTAATTCCAGCACCTTGGGAGGCTAAGGCTAGTGGATCACCTGAGGTCAGGAGCTAGACACCATCCTGGCCAACATGATGAAACCCTATCTCTACTAAAAATACAAAAATTAGCTGGGCATCGTGGTGAGCACCTGTAATCCCAGCTACCTGGGAGGCTGAGGCAGGAGAATTGCTTGAAACTGGAAGGTGGAGGTCGCATTGAGCCGAGATCGTACCGCTGCACTCCAGCCTGGGCGAGAAGAGTGAAACTCCATCTCAAAAAAAAAAGTATAAAAAATAGAAATAATATTATGAAATACAGAGGGATCTCCCTGCAGGCACCACTGGGAGCTGAAACATCAGGGGCACCTGGGGGGCGAAAGACATGAGTGGGAACAACTTCAGCCCTTGCTTCTCCTCCAAACACCACTAAAAGGAATGCAAAGGGATTGCAGATGTAAAAGGGAAGAGTTCACAGCAGAGAGTGAGAGGAGCGCCTGCCAGGAACATCACAGAAGCTGGAAAACAAGTGGGGGAGTGATAACTGATTCAAGGGATCAGCGTGAACTTGGAAAAAAGTGGTGGGAAGCACCAAGGGCACGTGCCCACAGAGAAAAGGCCACGTGAGGCCACCACCCAGAAGAGAGGCCTTGGAAGAAACCAACCTTGCTGGCACCGTGATCCTGGGCTTCCAGCCTGCAGGACTGTCAGACCATTACGGTGTTAGACCGACACTGTAAAGAAAGTAGTGATAACACACATGGTTGTCTCGCTCCAGTTCTAAAAGGGGGAAGGATGCCGGGTGTGGTGTTCTCCAGAAGGCCCTTCCATGTTTCTCTGTGGCACCCGCAGTGCCTGGATGTCAGCACTGGGAGAAACCGCCTCCAGATTCATCTGTAAAATCCGAGCATCAGTGAGCTTAACTCTCCTGCTTTCTCAGCTCTCTGTTTCCATTAGGTTTGGTTGATCTGGGTCAGGGCCAGCATCAGAGGTAAACCCAAAGCTGTTCTCTGTGGACTGACCTCTTCTCCCTTCTCTTACATGTCTGCCATGTCCACTAGCCTGTGAGCTTCAGGAGACAAAGGAGCATGTTTCTTCTTCCTGATACCCCCGAAACTTGCACAGTACATGCTATAAAATGCAGATTCAATGAGGGCTCTTTGCATTACAATTTTGAGAAAGAATCATGAACCATGATTTAGCGTCTCTTCCCATCAAACCCCAGGCCCACAGAGCAATTGCCTTTACCTGTGACACACACCTCCTACCTGTCCTCCCCGCAGCCCGGCATCTCTGTCCTGCAGACCAAACACAAAACTCATTGCCATCACTCTTCAACCTGGCTTCCTTTCTGACTTCCCTTCAGGTGCCCCAGGCAGAACCATGGGGATCATCTGACCCTCTGTCTCCCTCATCCTTCCCTATCCCACCAGCCCATGTCCTACTGACTCAGTCCTTAAAGTCCCTCTCGCTCCCCACCGGATCCTCAGTGTCTGGTAGTACAGTGCCTGACGTGGGAGGTACACAGCGACCACTAGGTGAATACAAGAATGATGTGATTGGCCAGGCACGGTGGCTCACGCCTGTAATCCCAGCACTTTGGGAGGCTGAGGCAGGCGGATCACGAGGTCAGGAGATCGAGGCTATCCTGGCTAACAGGGTGAAACCCCGTATCTACTAAAAATACAATTCTGGTCATGCGCAGGTACTATTCATCAATAAAGGTATTACAACTTCAGAAATGTGTTCAAAATGTATCCATACTTTGACATATTAATGAAGTAATCACTTTCTACACAAAACTACTCCATATGGAATATTGGGGAGGGGGTGTTCCAAATAAAGAGACAGGATTTCTCATGAGAACTCAGTGTCCGCTAGAAAATATCTAAGTAAAATATTTTACTTATGCAGAAAGTGTGGATGTTTGTGCATCAAAAGTTTCAAGAATCCCTAGAATGTACAATGGAGATGAGGAGAAAATATCAGAATTTCCCAGTGCCAGAAATGAGGCAAGAAAAAATTCAGAGGAGTTGTAAATGTGAAAAGCCAATGGCTGGTCACACAGCAACATTGATAACCTTGTGCCAGGACAACTAGAATAAATACATAAACATACAGATTGAAAATATTTCCAATATTAGATCTCCCTCATGTGAGAACTAAATTATAAAGATTGAAGATATAAGAAAATAAGCTACCAGAATTTAGGCTACCAGAATAAATTCGATTACACATCAATTTCTGATATTGAAATTGTCACAAATGTTTAAGTTGGTAGTGGAAGACAAAGGACATATAATCTTGGGAGTCCTAGGTCCCTGCCCACTGCCAGTGCCTCCACACTACTACAGCTGATGCTTTCTGGAAAGCACCACCTCCTAGCAGTAGGCCAACCAGCACAAATATAGAGCATTAAACCACTAAAGCTAAGGACCCTCACAGAATCTACTGCACCCTTCACCACATCCACTGGAACAGGCTCTGGTATCCATGGCTGAGAGACCCATAGATGGTTCACATCACAGGGCTCTATGCAGACAACCCCTAGTACCAGCCGAAAGCCAGGTAGACCTGCTGGGTGGCTAGACCCAGAAGAGAGACAACAATCAATGCACTTCGGCTCACAGGAAGCCATGCCCATAGGAAAAGGGGGAGAGTACTACGTCAAGGGAACACTCCATGCGACCAAAGAGTCTGAACAACAGTCTTCAGCCCTAGACCTTTCCTCTGACAGAGTCTACCAAAATGAGAAGGAACCAGAAAACCAACCCTGGTAATCTGACAAAACAAGACTCTTCAACACCCCCAAAGAATCACACCAGTTCATCACCAATGGAACCAGACAAAGAAGAAATCACTGATTTATCTGAAAAAGAATTCAGGTTAGTTATTAAACTAATCAGGGAGGGGCCAGAGAAAAGTGAAGCCCAATGCAAGAAAATCCAAAAAATAATACAATAAGTGAAGGGAGAAACATTCAAGGAAATAGATAACTTAAATAAAAAAAAATCAGGAAACTTTGGACGCACTTTTAGAAATGTGAAATGCTCTGGAAAGTCTCAGCAATAGAATTGAACAAGTAGAAGAAAGAAATTCAGAATTCGAAGACAAGGTCTTTGATTTAACCCAATCCAATAAAGACAAAGAAAAAAGAATAAGAAAATATGAGCAAAGCCTCCAAGGAGTCTGGCATTCTGTTAAACGATGAAACCTAAGACTAATTGGTGTACCTGAGGAATAAGTGAATTCTAAAAGCCAGGAAAACATATTTGGGGGAATAATCAATGAAAATTTCCATGGCCTTGTGAGAGACCTAGACATCCAAATACAAGAAGCACAAATAACACCTGGGAAATTCATCACAAAAAGATCTTAGCCTAGGCACATTGTCATTAGGTTATCCAAAGTTAAGACAAAGGAAAGAATCTTAAGAGCTGTGAGACAGAAGCACTAGGTAACCTATAAAGGAAGACCTATCAAACTAACAGCAGATTTTGCAGCAGAAACCTTACAAGCTAGATGGGATTGGGGTCCTTTCTTCAGCCTCCTCAAACAAAACAATTATCAGCCAAGAATTTTGAATCCAGCAAAACTAAACATCATATATGAAGGAAAGATACAGTCATTTTCAGACAAACAAATGCTGACAGAATTTGCTATTACCAAACCAGCACTGTAAAAACTGCTAAAAGGGGCTCTAAATCATGAAACAAATCCTGGAAACACATCAAAACAGAACTTCATTAAAGCATAAATCACACAAGACCTATAAAACAAAAATACAAGTGAAAAAGCAAAAACAGAAAACAAAAACAATGTACAGAGGCAACAAACAGCATGATGAAAGCAATGGTACCCCACTTTTTAATAGTAATGTTGGTTGTAAATGGCTTAAATGCTCCACTTACAAGATACAGAACCACAGAATGGATAAGAACTCACCAACTAACTATCTGCTGCCTTCAGGAGACTCACCTAACACATAACAACTTACATAAACTTAAGGAAAGTGGTAGAAAAAGGCATTTCATGCAAATGGACACCAAAAGTGAACAGCGGTAGCTATTCTCATATGAGAAAAAACAAACTTTAAAGCAACAGTAGCTAAAAGAGACAAAGACAGACAGTATATAATGGTAAAGGCCTCATCCAACAGAAAAATATGACAATCCTAAACAAACATGAACCTAACACTGGAGCTCCCAAATTTATAAAACAATTACTAGTAGACATAAGAAATGAGATAGACAGCAACACAATAATAGTGGGGGCCTTCAATACTCCACTGACAGCACTAGACAGTTCATCAAGACAGAAAGTCCACAAAGAAACACTGGATTTAAACTATACTTTGGAACAAATGGACTTAACAGATATATACAGAACATTTCATCCAACAACCACAGAATACACATTCTATTCCACAGCACATGGAATTTTCTCCAAGATAGACCATATGATAGGCCATAAAACAAGTCTCAATAAATTTAAGAAAATTGAAATTGTATCACGCACTCTCTCAGATCACAGTGGAATAAAACTGAAAATCAACTCCAAAAGGAATCTTCAAAACCATGCAAATACATGGAAATTAAATAACCTGCTCCTGAATGAGCATTGGGTGAAAAATGAAATCAAGATGGAAATGTAAAAAATTTCTTCGAACTGGATGACAAAACCTATCAAGACCTCTGGGATACAGCAAAGGCAGTGCTAAGAGGAAAGTTTGTAGCCCTAAACACCTATGTCAAAAAGTCTGAAAGAGCACAAACAGACAATCTAAGTTCACATCTCAGGGAACTAGAGAAGCAGGAACAAGCCAAACCCAATCCCAGCAAACAAAGGAAATAACCAAGATCAGAGCAGAACTAAATGAAATTGACACAACAACAACAACAACAACAACAAATACAAACCATAAATAAAACAAAAAGTTGGTTATTCGAAAAGATAAATAAAATCGATAGACCATTAGCAAGATTAACCAAGAAAAGAAGAGAGAAAATCCAAATAACCTCACTAAGGAAGGAAACAGGGGATATTACAACTGACACCACTGAAATATTAAAGATTATTCAAGGGTACTATGAACACCTTTGGCACATGAACTAGAAAACCTAGAAGAGTTGGACAAATTCCTGGAAAAATAAAACCCTCCTAGCTTAAATCAGGAAGAATTAGATACCCCAAGCAGACCAATAAAGCAAGCAGCAAGATCGAAATGGTAATATTAAAATTACCAACAAAAAAAGCCGAGGACTAGACAGATTCACAGCAGAATTCTACCAGACATTCAAAGAATGTCTTCTTTCATTCAAAGAAGAAATGATACCAATCCTTTCACACTATTCCACAAGACAGAGAAAGAAGAAACCCTCCCTGATTCATTCTATGAAGCCAGCATTACCCTAATACCAAAACCATGAAAGGACATAACCAAAAATGAAAACTACAGACCAACATCCTTGATGAACGCAGATGCCAAAATCCTTAACAAAATACTATCTAACTGAATCCAACAACATATCAAAAAGATAATCCACCATGATCAATTGGGTTTCATACCAGTGATACAGGAATGGTTTAACATACGCAAGTCAATAAATGTGATACACCAAATAAACAGAATTAAAAAAAAACTCACATGATTATACCAACAGATGCAGAAAAAGCATTTGACAAAATCTAGCATTGCTTTATGATTAAAGCTCTCAGCAAAATAGGCATACAAGGGACATACTTTAATGTAATAAAAGCCATCTGTGACAAACCCACAGCCAACATAATACTGAATGGGGAAAAGGTGAAAGCATTGCCTTGAGAACTGCAACAAGATGAGGAGCCTACTCTCACCACTCCTCTTCAACATAGTACTGGAAGTCCTAGCCAGAGCAATCAGACAAAAGAAGGAAATAGAGGAAATCCAAATCGGTAAACAGGAAGTCAAACTGTCACTGGTTGCTGACGATATGATCTTTTGCCTTGAAAACCCTATGGACTCTTCTAGAAAGCTCCTAGAAATGATAAAATAATTCTGCAGTTTCCAGATACAAGATTATTGTACACAAATCAGTAGCTCTTCTATACATCAACAGCTACCAAGCAGAGAATCACATCAAGAACTCAACCCCTTTTGCAATAGCTGCAAAAAACAAAAAAACAAACAAAAAAAACTTAGGAATATACCTAACAAAGGAATCAAAAGACCTCTACAATGAAAATTACAAAACACTGCTGAAAGAAATCACAGATGGAGCCAAGCACAGTGGCGCATGCCTATAATCCCAGCTACTCGGGAAGCTGAGGCAGGAGAATCGCTTGAACCCAGGAGGCAGAAGTTGTAGTGAGCTGAGATCACACCATTGCACTCCCACCTCAGCGACAAGAGCGAAACTCCCTCTGAAAAAAAAAAAAAGACCAAGAAAGAAAAGAAATCATAGATGACAGAAACAAATGGAAATGCATCCCCATGCTCAAGGATGGGTAGAACCAATACTGTGAAAATTACCATTCTGTTAAAGGCAATCTACAAATTCAATGCAATCCCCATCTGAATACCATCATCATTCTTCAGAGAACTACAAAAACAATTCTAAAATTAATATGGAACCAAAAGAGAGCCATGTAGCCAAACCAAGGCTAAGCAAAAAGAACAAACCTGGAGGCATCACACTACGTGATTTCAAACTGTACAGTAAGGCCATAGTTACCAAAACAGCATGGTACTGGTTTAAAAATAGGCACATAAACCAATGGAACAGAAAAGAGAACCCAGAAATTAACCCAAATACTTACAGCCAACTGATCTTTGACAAAGTAAACAAAAACATAAAGTGGGGAAAGGACACCCTTTTCAACACATGATGTTGGGATAATTGGCGAGCCACATGTAGGGGAATAAAACTGGATTCTCATCCCTCACCTTACACAAAAATCTACTCAAGATGGATTAAGAACTTAAACCTAATTCCTGAACTATAAAAATTCTAGAAGGTAACACTGGATAAACCCTTCTAGACACTGGCATAGGCAAGGATTTCATGACCAAGAACCCAAATGCAAATGCAATAAAAACAAAGCTAAATAGCTGCGACTTAATTAAACTAAATAGCTTTTGCATGGCAAAGGGAACAGTCAGCAGAGTAAACAGACAACTAACAGAGTGGGAACCCTGACCCTGACCCCTGACCCTGACCCCTAATTCCTGACCCTGACCCCTAACCCCTGACCATAACCCTAATCTCTAACCCTTAACCCTAACCCTAACCCCTAACCCCAACCCTCACCCTAACCCAACCCTAACCCCAAATACCTAACCCCTAACCTCTCTTAACCCCTAACTCTAAACGTTGACTCTTAACCCCTAACTCTGACCCCAACTCCTATCTCCAACCCTAAACTTAACCCCTAACCCCTAACCCCTAACCCTAACACCAACCTTAACCCTAGGTTCGTTACTAAATTAGTATTGACTATGACTATGTTGATTATTATGATCACTGTCTTAGGGCTGCACGGCAGTGAGGGGATTTTGGATCTTATATTAATGTTTTTGTATTGAGGCAGTGCATTAGCACAGGTGCTTCTTACATGAGCAATGGGGGTGTCATATTTTGCGTGTCATGTCTGCATTAGGAATGCTGCATTTGTCTTTTTTTTTTTTTTTTTTTTTGAGACGGAGTCTCGCTCTGTCGCCCAGGCTGGAGTGCAGTGGGGGGATCTCGGCTCACTGCAAGCTCCGCCTCCCGGGTTCACGCCATTCTCCTGCCTCAGCCTCCCAAGTAGCTGGGACTACAGGCGCCCGCCACTATGCCCGGCTAATTTTTTGTATTTTTAGTAGAGACGGGGTTTCACTGTTTTAGCCGGGATGGTCTCGATCTCCTGACCTCGTGATCCGCCCGCCTTGGCCTCCCAAAGTGCTGGGATTACAGGCGTGAGCCACCGCGCCCGGCCTGCATTTGTCTTCCGAGACTGCGGTGTGGATCTCGCACTGCAGCCGCCTCGCCTTGGCAGGGGAGAACCTCGGTGGGCAGGATTCAGAAGGGCTTTTGGTTTCCCGTTTTCCACACTGAACCCTTCTAACGGGTCTCTGACCCTGATTATTCAGCGCTGCAAACAGGAAGGATTTTATTCACCGTCGATGTGGCCCCGAGTTGTCCCAAAGCGAGGCAGTGCCCCCAAGGTCTGTGCTGAGAAGAACGCTGCTCTGCCTTCGCGGTGGCCCCCCGGGTCTGTGCTGAGCAGAACACACCTCATCCTGTGCTGAGGAGAACGCAGCTCCGCCCTCGCAAAGGCACACAGCGCCAGCGCAGGGCACCAAGAGGCGCACCGAACCCGAATCCTAACCCTAACGCCGTCCTAAGAGCCCTGGAGAGACCTTAGGGGACAAGCATTAAACTGACACTCGAGTCCGTAGCCGGCTCTGCCAAAAGACTTGGGGTTGAGATGATATGAGGGCAGGGGTCAGGGAAGAAAGCGTTCTGGTTTTAGACCCACAGGAAGATCTGTGAAGCACACTTGGGTAGAGCACATGTTGCCTGGTGTGCGCTTGAAAAAAGCCTAAGAAGAGGGGGTGTCTGGAAGGAACCGCGACGCCAAGGGAGGGTGTCCAGCCTTCCCGCTTCAACACCTGGACACATTCTGGAAAGTTTCCTCAGAAAGACAGAAAAATAATAATAATAATAATAAAAATCCAGAGGGCGGGGAGTGGGGGTGTGTGGCTAATGGGGCTTTACCGGGACTATCTGTCTTAATCCTCCAAACAACCCTGCCATAGCAGCCCATCAGTCCTCTGAGACAGGTGAGGAACCTGAGGTCACAGGAGGACACCCAGAAGGTCCAAGCAGAGCCCCCTAGGGCCCCCACACCTCCCCCGTGCCAGCTCCAACCCCAGCTTTTTCACTAGTAAGGCACGCCTGCTGCTGGGCCATGCCCACTCCCCCAAGCGGGAGTTTGATAAACAAACTGTTAATTATTATTACCTATATCTGGATGGGTTATGAGTGAACTTTTTTAAATTTATTTTTATTTATTCTTTATTTATTTTTGCGGGGACAGAGTCTTGCTCTGTCACTCAGGCTAGAGTGCGATGGCATGATCTCAGCTTACTGCAACCTCCACCTCCTGGGTTCAAGGAATTCTCCCACCTCAGCCTCCCAAGTACCCGAGACACAGGCGTATGCCACCACGCCCAGCTAACTTTTGTATTTTTAGTTAGAGATGCAGTTTTGCCATGTTGGCCAGACTAGTCTTGAACTCCTGATGTCAAGTGATTTGTCCATCTCTGCCTCTGAAAGTGTTGGGATTACAGGCATAAGCTACCGCACACAGCCTAAAATATATTTTTATTTTCAAAAATTGTGTGGTATGCATGAGTTTTATAGCAAGAAAAAATTATAATTTATTTTGAATTAAAGTCCATTGTTTTAAAATTAAGCAATAGGTGAGCTGGAATTTTAAGCTCCACAAATGACCAATAACTTATTTGATTCCCTTTTAAACCTGTTGTCTGTTTTAATCACTCATATGGAATCATTCATATGTTTTTACTTAAAATCTAAACCAAATAATGAAGTAACTGTTTAAATTGTTAGATTTTGAATATGGTTCAGTTGGATGTAAAATGTAACTATTACTCAGGAAAACGATCTGATTTTTTTTTTAGCAAGTGATATTCTTTCTTTCTGAGAGCATTTCACAAATGTTTCTACCTAATGAATCATATTTTAAAATTAACACTTGTAATTCTTTTTTCTTTTTAGTTTCCTGCCCGTGATGATTCACATAATAAACACAATGAATTGACAGGAGATAATGTGGGTCCACTAATACTGAAAAAGAAAGAAGTATAATAATAATATTTTAACAATATTTTCTCATTCTTTGTGTATAGAAAATTTTAAAATGGTGGTCTTAATTATTACTACTGGTTGAACAAATATTTCTTCCAATTTATTTTCTTCCTGCACTACTGTTTGTATTTGATCCTTTGTCTATTCAGTCTCTTAATTAGAAATTAAATTGTCAAGCCTCTTATTCTGATTTCAAAGAATTAATGTATCTTCCAACAATAAAATCACTTCTGATTTTAATCTAGGAAAACCTAAATTGTGGCTATGGATCCAAAGCTGTTTGTTTCTTTGAATATCAATATTTTCAACAGGATCTTGTATTTAAAATTCCCACCTACATTGTTAAATATGTTATTTTTTCATATCTCTTTTGGTTTTGATAATCTGAAGTGTTTTTTTCTCCTTTTGGCCTTCCAAACTGCATTTGTTTAGGTGAATTAAGAAAAATATTGGGCCGGGCGCTGTGGCTCACGCCTGTAATCCCAGCACTTTGGGAGGCCGAGGCGGGCGGATCATAAGGTCAGGAGATCAAGACCATCCTGGCTAACACGGTGAAACCCCGTCTCTACTAAAAATACAAAAAATTAGCCGGGCGAGGTGGCGGGCGCCTGTAGTCCCAGCTACTCGGGAGGCTGAGGCAGGAGAATGGCGTGAACCCCGGGGGGCGGAGTGTGCAGTGAGCTCCAGCCTGGGCGACAGCGAGACTCCGTCTCAAAAAAAAAAAAAAAAGAAAAATATTGCCATCAAGAATTACTTGTGTTTTCACAGAGATAGACTCTTTGCTTTACAGAGGTTGTTGGGTATTTAATATGAATATCCCAGCTTTAGAAAAGAGTAAACTGGATACAAAAAGTTCCATTGAGGAACAGTTATTTACAGTAAAAAAGATTTGTTTACTTTACAAAAGGCTTGTGTCTGCTTCTGTGTGTGTATATTTTAAACTGTTTGACTCAGTGAGAGCTGGGGTGGAATGGCAAGAACACTTAAAACCTAACTCATGGGCTGCTGCAATTTGAAGATCAATTGGTAATAAATATAAGACATATTAATTCATATTAAAATAGTTCAGTGTCCAAAATTGTGGTTACATGGACATTTTTCTCTTTTTAACACTATAAACCATTAAAATACAGTCATCCCTTGTATACACTGGGGACTAGTTCCAGGGCCACACATATACCAAAATCTGCCCATACTCAAGTCTCACAGAACGTCTTGCAGAACCCATATGTAGAAAAGTTGGCCCTCCAATTGACCCTCCGTACACATGAGTTTCACATCCCATGCACAAATGCTGATCTGTGTGACCTCACCTGCATTTGATTGAAAAAAGTATGCGCATAAGTGTACCCACCCAGTTCAAACCCATGTGTAAGGGTCAACTGTACAAAAAAGTTTGTGAAATAAATGTACCGGAGAATCTTTAAAATTTTTGTGCTTTTTAATCCTACTATTATGAGTCTTTTTAGTTTCATCTTACATTACTACTCTCATAATAGCTATCCTTAGCCAGGTGCCATGGCACAGGCCTGTAGTCCCAACTGCTGAGAAGATTGAGGTGGGAGGATGGCTGCAGTGCTGGAGCCCAGGAGTTCAAGGCCAGGCTGGGCAAAATAGTGCTCTGCCTCTGCTGGACTCTGTAGGGAATCCTTTCTGTTCTGAAAGAGTTACCATTTAACCCTCTTCACTGAGTACATTTCTGAGACCTTGCTAGGCACTATGGAAACTGCTTAGTTGAGAAAAGACAAATACAAAAGCTTTTCTTTAGTCTATTTAAGATACAATTTATTCAGTTCACTTTGCTTTCTTTTTATAAGAAGGTACAAGAGGCAGAGGTAATCCTTCTAGAAATAAAACTAATTGTTATTGAGAACTCGTATGTACCAGACAGTACACTAAGCATGGTACTTGTGTTTTTAATTTATTACATGTAATGTCAGTAGGTTCAATTATATGATCAGAACATCTTCATGACCAGCAGCATGTATTTTAGAGTTAGAAATGTAGTCTGGTTTCTGAGAAGTTTTACAAGGTGTATGTCCAAAATTATTGCTCTTTCCTCACATGTCAGTGGGGGATAAATACAGCATTGCTCTCACTTCTTTGACTCTGGGCACTTTTTTGGATACATTTTCTTCAATACTGTTAAGGGGCCTCACTGTCAGATTAACCAATTATTTTTCCACAGTTGGTCACCAGACTTTGGAAAAAATCCAGCTCACCAAAATTTTGGATATCCTGGTCTGTGGTCATGAAATGCTTTTCTTTTTGTAAAATCTGTCACTGCGTCTCACAGCAACTTGTTTTCACACATGTTCTAGTCGTTCCCATAACTTAGATTTTACAGGAGGCAAATTTACTAAAAATGAGGAGACTAAAATGAATGACCAACTTTGAATTTTGTCAAATAACATTGAAAATGAATTATCTCATAAAAGGTAATTTTAATACCCCAAAAGTAAGATGGTTATACTCTCAGAATAAAGACTTTTTCCCTGCCACATTTTCAGTTGTTAAAATATGCTATGCCCATATCTTTTCCCACTTGTGCAAATTTTTCAGAAGCCTACAGTTGGTAGTAAGCTGTTGCTTTAATAACTCTTTTAAATAAGCATTATTAGCAGTTTCCATTACTTCTTGTAAATTTACACAATTTTATCTTGTCCATCTTTAAAAAATAGATATCTAATAACCAAATGTATTTGAATTGATACAGTATAAGTAACTTGTAGAACTTGAGGATAAGTGGTAAAGGAAAAGAAAAAGTAACTTGACTCTTGAAATACGTCTTGGGTTTCTAGAGCCTTCAAAATACAGCCTTGTTGTTACTGTGTCACATTATGATTGTTTTGACGGCTACTTCTGCTTACCTAGGAAACTACTCATGCCTTACTCAGCAAATGAGCACCACCATTACATAAACATCAGGTATCCAAAAGTGTTAGCAGGCTTGAGGTATGAATGATTAATTCATATGGGTAATTAAGCAAGTTGAATTATGGAAAGCATCTCACAATTCACACAATTCAGCTTTGAGTTCAATGCCAAATATGATGATTCATTAAGTTGCCTTTGTATTTTGTAACCTAATTTGTTAATAAGTTACAGGAAGCCAATTAAGCCAGCTGCTGATCTATATAGTACTACCTTCCTCATTGTGATTCCATAGTCTTCCAATAGAAATGTGCTATCAGAATCTGTATAAAGAGTTTGTAAATTGCACTATTTAACAAGGTTCTTAAGAATTTAGGTGGATGTTTTATTTGATACCTACCAAAGAAACTTAACTAATTGTATAACACTTAACCCATTTAGAATTCAGTTGTGGCAGCATAACCAATCTGGAGAGACCAGGGGAGATGTTACTAATGCTTGTACTTTATTCAGAAGTGATTGCCTCATTGGCTTGGTGCAGTGACTACACACCTGTAATCTCAGCACTTTGGGAGGCTGAGGTGGGTGGAGTACTTGATCTCAGGAGTTCCATACCAGCCTGGGCAACATGGTGAGATCTCATCTCTACAAAAAAATACAAAAATTAACCGGGCACCAATGGCGCACCCGTAGTCCCAGTTACTCGGGAGGCTGAGGCACAAGAATCTCTTGAGTTGAGGAGGCCAAGGTTGCAGTGAGCCAAGATTGTGCCACTGCACTCCAGCCTGGGCAACAGGAGTGAAACCCTATCTTAAAAAAAAAAAAGTATTTTTTTCTTCATCTAATCAAATTTATTGGGGCAGAAATCAGTACAAATTTCATAGGACAGGAGGAAACCAATATAAACATCTCAGCATTGTAGGAAATTTAACCCATGGAAAGCAGGGCTGAATTAAAGACCACTTTGAAGGCCAGGAAAAGCAGATAATTTAGATATAGTCAAAGTATGAAATCATTGATAGATCCAGAACAAGGGAATAATATATGTGTTTACATATTAGATCTACTTTATTAACAATTTTCCCTCTGTTAAACTAATATCAACTAATAGTAGTCTAGGTAAGTCAAGTTCAAATTAAGTGGTAACTGAAAAGTCTTCCTTTTTAAAGAATTTTAATGGTAGAGGCAGCAGCTACCCAGAGTCTACTTATTCTTACTTCACATAGAATTCTAACAAGTTAGGTTATCTGATTTCTGCTTCCTAACAAATCACAAGTATCGAAAGGGTCTTGCAGAAGGGGTGAACTATAAAATGTGACAGCTGACAGCAAGGCATGGGAACAAAAATAAACTTAAGGTGAACATTAAAAACATAGCAGCTTGAGACAATTTATAGGATTCTGCATACAACCGTCTCTGAGGACATCACTGTGATCAAATTATACAAGTGATGTTTAGTGATGAATTGGAATCAAGATAAGTAGTAGGTGTTATTTAAAAAGGCAGTATATGTGTTGCATTCAGTGGCAACAATTTCACCTTAGCTATTTAGTTAAAAGCTTAGTGCTTAACATGTTGGAAAATTTATGGGTAAAATATATTGACTTATTCCTTGACGATTGGAGGCTTTATCACAGGAAGTTTTCCCATTCAATTGAAACATTTTTCAAGCTTAATGACTATAATTTACTACATAATTTATTTTGTTAAAGTTTGAGAAAAACTAAATAAAGAAGTAGCAATTTAAGTCATAATAAATTTTGTTAGATGACTTCTTCCACTTTAGGGGGAATTAAAAATCTTGTTTAAAAACCACATGTGCAGCAGTTCTGTGACCGCCTCAACACCTAGTTGGCCATATAGTCCCTTTGCACCACAGAGGTTGGAGTATAGAATATGCCCAAAGCTGTTTTGTTTTGTTTTAACTATGCTGCATCATCTGAGGTTGTGTTAACATAGTTTGTCCTAATAGTCTTTTACTGGAAAGTTGCTATATTTGATTATGTTCAGCAAGTAAACTAATTTTATCTACTTTCATATATTTTGAGACAAAGTCTGGCCCTGTCATCCAGGCTGGAGTGCGGGGGCGTAATCGTACCTCACCACAGCCTCAGCCTCTTGTGCTGAAGTGATCCTCCCACCTCAGCCTCCCAAGTAGCTGAGACTACAGTCATGCTTCATCATGCCCGGCTATTTTTTTACTTTCCTAAGAGACAGAGTCTCACTATGTTACCCAGGCTGGTCTCGAAGTCCTGGACTCAAGTGATCCTCCCTGCCTCAGCACTCCCAAAGTGCTGGGATTGCAGGTGTGAGCAACCATGCCTGGTGTTTTATCTTTTGCAGAAATCCAGTTTAGTTAAGTCATGTTGTAGCAAGCATCATTTTCATATAAAAAGTGTACAGTTCATATTATTAGCAAACGTATTCTGTAATTTTATATTAGTTATGGTCTTGAAGGACATTGAAAATCTGTTCAGAAAGACTGTGTTTTTCAACCAGAGATGACATCACTCTAACTTTCCTTTGGTTTAAATGCTTGATTCTTTGCTTACAAAATTTCTGTTTTGAACAATTATGGTGAGAAAGTATATTTGTGATACTGTTTTCTTAGAACACTGTTGTCAGATAGATCAGCCATAATGTTAACACATTTCTGATCTCTATTATAAGGCTGTAATTTTCCAAAATAAGATAGAAAAGGAGAAAAGGGTAGTACATTTCATAATTACTGAGATGAACCCTGTACTAGTGAGAAAATAAAAATGCCAACAATTTATTAAATTTTCAGATTTCCTGTAATTTTCCATCACTATCTCTCATACATTTCTCTGCATGATCACACTAAAGATATAAATTAATCACATCCATTCAACAAATCAAGAAACTCAAAACTCACAAGTACAATCTTCAACTCTGTAGAATGCTACCAAGAAGTAAAATAAGATGAAGGTAGAAAGATTCTCTTTGAGGACCAGGTGCGGTGGCTCACACCTGTAATTAATTCCAGCACTTTGAGAGGCCAAGGTGGGCAGATTGCCTAAGGTCAGGAGTTCAAGACCAGCCTGGCCAACATTGTGACAACTCGCTCTACAAAAATACAAAAATTAACTGGGCATGATAGTGGATGTCTGTAATCCCAGCTACTCGGGAGGCTGAGGTGGAAGAATCACTTGAATCCAGGAGGCAGAGGTTGCAGTGTGCCAAGGTCATGCCATTGCATTCCAGCCTGGGCCAGAGAGCAAGACTCCATCTCAAAAAAAAAAAAAAAAAAAAAGAAAAGAAAAAAGAAAGATTCACTTTGAAATGCTGCATGCAACTATATGACCACACATTGGAAAATCTAGAGAAAATGGGTAATTTTCTGGAAAAATATAAATGACCAAAACTAATCCAAGAAGAAATTAAAAATGTTAGTAGACCAGTTACAAAGAAGATAATGTAAAATGATTTTTTAAATCCATAATTTAAAAAGTACTAGGGTTGCAAGAAGGATAATTCCAATGTTATTTAAAGTATCCCAAATTTTTTTAAAAAAGAAAAACCAATTCATTTCACATAGGCAGTGCAGCATTAATATGAAAACCTGATAAACATAAGACAAAACTATAGGCCAGGTGCCATGGCTTACACCTGTAATCCCAGCACTTTGGGAAGCCAAGGCAGGTGGATCACTTAAGATCAGGAGTTCAAGACCAGCCTGAACAATATGGTGAAACCCCGTCTCTACTAAAAATCCAAAAATTAGCCCAGCATGGTGGTGTATGTCTGTAATCCCAGCTTGAACCCAGGAGGCAGAGGTTGCAGTGAGCCAAGATCACGCCACTGCACTCCAGCCTGGGTGACAGAGCAAGTCTCCATCTCAAAACAAAAATAAAAACAAACAAAAAAACCAAAACTATAGACCAATCTGACTTATACATGTGAATGAATATTCTAAATAAAAACCCAGCACTGTTATCAATAATTGCAACAACAAAAAAGAGTAATACAGTATGCAAAGAGCATTGTATTTCAGGAATTCATGGGTATTTCAATATCAGTTAAGTATATTAACACAATTACATAATTGACATCAAAGAAGAGGAAAATGTGATTATATCAATAGATGCTGAGAGGGCTATTGTTAAGATTAAACATCCACTCCTAATGAAGATTCTTGAGTAAAATAGAAATTGAAAGAAAGTGTCTAAACATAGCCGTTATTTATGAAATGCCTACAAAATAAGTATTTTAAATCATAAAGGAACATTTCAATTAAAACAAGGAACCAGTAGGAATAGCTGCTGTCATTATTTGTTATTAAAGATTATCTTGGAGGATCCATGAATGTAACAAGATTTTTAAATGAAATAATCAGTATAAATATAGAGAAAACTTTTTGTGGATATGATTATATGCCTAGCAAATCATAGAGATTAGGAAAAACAGAACTTTCAAATATTTTAAAGAGGAATATTGGTAAGGTATTTGGAAATAAGATCATAATACAAAATACATTAGCAATAAGCACCTTGAAATGCTAATGGTAAAAATATTCACAATAACAAAAATAATAAAGGTAAAATAAATTTACCAAGAAAGAAGATCTACAAGAAAAAAACTATAAAAATGTTAACAAAAGCTATTAAATAAGAAACACATGGGGCTAGGTGCAGTGGCTCATACCTGTAATCCCAGCACTTTGGGAGGCTGAGGCAGGAGGACTGCTTGAGCCCAGGAGTTCAAGACCAGCTTCGGCAAATTGTGAAACGCTATATCTAAACAAAACAAAACAAAACAAAAAACTATTTGGGCTTGGCGCATGCTTATAGAACCAGGTACTTGGGAGGCTGAGGTGGGAGTTTGGGGCTTCAGTGAGCTGAGATACCACAACTGCACTCCTGCCTGGGTGACAAAGTGAGACCCTGTCTCAAAAAAACAAACAAAACTCTTGTAAAAACATAAATCTCCTAAAATTATATATAAATTCAATTAAATTCACATTAGAATCACAAAAGCATTTTAAAATTGGATTAAATTATCTTAAAGTTCATGTAGAAGAATAGTCAGGACATTTTACCCAAAAAAAGACTATTGAGAGGAACTTTTCTCACCAGATATCAGCACCTACTATAGAACTATTGGAATTGATCAATTAAGAAAAACAATTGTATTAATTAAGAATAAGCAAGAGTAGTAAAAAATTGAGAATCTACATGTAGATGAAAAATTAATATATGAAAATAAACAATTCAAAGAAAACAAAATTGGACCCTCAATTTACACTGAAGGCTTTGAACTGATACATAAAATGATTTTTAAAATGATTTAAATATGTACATAAATGGAGAGAGGAAGGGTGGGAGAGAAGCGGGAGAGAGAGAAAATAGAAGACTAAAGACAGGAACACCTATGTGGAAAAAGATAACACTTAATGACAAAATATGTTTTATGTGAATATCAGTTATACATAATAAATATTGGGGACATTGCATTGTGGGTTACAGTAAAGCATTAAAAAACAGAGTAAGTGAACAAAAAAAGGAAAGAAAACTACCAAATTCCATGTATGATACCCCGTTTTGAAATTACATAAATTAAACATGTGTACACATAAGAAAATTTTAAACATTAAAATTTTGTTAACAAAATGGATTTGATAACACGAAGGCCATTGATGACCTTACCCACAGCAGCTTTGTTTAAATGGGGATTAAGGATGGAGCAAAATTTTTATTAGAACACTTTGAATAATGAATTAGCAAACTACAATAAACTGAAATCTTACCTACCAAATAATCTCAGTAAAGTAAACAAATCTAAAAGAAATGAATAAAACAATTGTGAGCAAAAAAGGATAGAGTCACTGCATATAATGTAAATGAGACAAGGATGGCCTCTGTGTATTGGCGCCTAGGTTATTTCTTCACAGCAAGCTGAAACCCATTAGCTCAAAAACCAACTGGCACCAAACTCAAATTTTTAAACATCCAATTGTGTTAAACATAGCCCAGACATGCAGATCTGTAGGCATTTAGAGCCTGCCTGATTTACATGCCCTGGGAAACTACGTCCAAAATCTGCTTGCCACAGATAAACTCTAGGCTGTAAAGACCCCAAGCTGCTTCTGCTCTTTGGAACTCTGTGAACTACAGACTCCATGCCATGCTGCTGAGTGATATCACTGAGACATGAAAGCCTCCTCTCTGATACTTTCCTCCCTCAGGAGTTCCTTTGCCCTCCTCCCCTTCTGAGTGGTGGCCCCCTTGTCTCAAACCTCTGGTCCATCTCTTGCTGTGAAGGCCTTCCCCAGGATACAAACCTGACAAGAGATCATCCAGATAAAGCCCATGTGTGCTTCTGTCACATCATTTTCTATATTTTTCTAATTTTTTTCTAAACTTTTCTAATTTTTTCTTAATTTTTATAAAATTGTGGATACCTAATAATGTAGTCTCAAAATAAATAAAGCCAAAATTAGAATTGGAAAAAGCAATAAAAAAATCTACACAGTGAGAGATTTTAACATTTCATTTTTAGTAATTGAATAAATAAACGTAAAATTAGTAAGGCTAATCAACAGTTAAAGAATTTCTATTCTTTTCAAGCACACTTGGAGTATTTACAAAAATTGACCAGATATTAGGCCTAAAGGTAGTATCAAATGTTTACATTGGTATAACAAATGTGTAATAGCACTATTAGAAATCAATAACAAAAACTTATCCAAAAGTAATCCATGAATTTTAGAAACTACAAACAGCTTCCAAATGATTCATGGAAGCAAGAAGAAATTATAACAAAAATTAGAACATGCTTAAAATTGAATTAAAATGAAAAGATTACCAATCATTATATATGTAAAATAACTGAAGCAGTACTTAGAGTGAAATTTACCAGAAGCAATTCACATTCATGGGAAAGACAACAGCATGCATTTAGAGACTTGTCCAAGATGTATATTAGTTCTTTGACTCTCTGTCCTAATGTAGTCCAGAGACGTGAGCTGTCTGGACATTCTGTAGCATGTTACATTTGTCCATTTTATTTACCAGTTAAAATAGACTGGGTAAGAAATAGCATGTTGGATGGCCTAGTGAGACACATGCATCCCTGAGAGAGAAAATCATCTGAAGATTTAAGGACCTGTGACATCAGTCACAGAAGATTTTAGGGGGCCCATTGGTCCCCCTATACTAAGGAATACTGTTCTGACACATTTGCTGAGTGACACAGAAGGCTTCCACCTTTGACAAAAGCTTAGGGCAGAAAAGGCCTCTGCAGCAGGTCCAGGATACAGGGCAAGCAGCCCTACTGTTTGAGCCATACACTCTAGTAGGCTCTATGGTATTAGAAGTATATGCAGTTGGAAAAAGCACCATGTAGAGTTTATAGCAAACCCTAATAGACGATTCACACATAGTCTTGTGGGGTTCACTGGCATGGTCATTCTCTCTGCAAGTAATTGTATATTGTATAAATATATAGCATAATTGTGTACTTTAATAGCTCCTAGCATGCTACTGCACCTAGGTAGAGATGGATTATCTGACAACAAATATTAAGTGACCATGTGGCTAAAAGTTCCCACCATGAGTTTGGTTTTGTTAGATCTACCAGATCATAAGGACAGGCTGGCCCAGCAACAAATCATAATAAAATAGAAGTAGCACATTGAATTAGTCCATTTTCACATTGCTATAAAGAACTACCCAAGCCTGGGTAATTAATAAACAAAAGAGGTTTATTGACTCACAGTTCCGTATGGCTGGAGAGGTCTCAGGAAACTTACACTTATGACTAAAGGCAAAGGTGAAGCAAGCACCTTCTTCAGAAGGCAGCAGGAGAGACAGAGAGCAAGGGGGGATGTGCCAAACACTTTTAAACTATCCACTCTCATGAGAACTCAATATCATGAGAACAGCATGAGGGAAATTGTCCCCATGATCCAGTCACCTCCCACCAGGTCCCTCTCTCTACATGTGGGGATTATAATTTGAGATGAGATTTTGTAGGGACACAGAGCCAAACCATATCACATCAAGGATTGGGCATGAGAAAGACTAGAGGACACAAGTAAGCAGTATGATCAGGTGATCCAGGTCCCCACATTATCCAAATTGTGACAATAGATTCTCTCCCTCAGCTGGCAACTCTGCCTATGTGGGAGTTCCAATATTGCTAAAGGAGGAAAAAAGCTAAGCTTGTTCATTGGAAGATCAACTCAGGATGCGGATGTAAGTAAAAAATGATAGCAACCTACTTCAGCTATGGAAAGATAGCAGTAGATTAAATCCTCCCAAGGACGGTTCAACATATACGAATCAATAAATGTGATATACACATTAACAGAATGAAGGACAAAAACTATATGAATATCTCCATGGATGCAGAGAAAGCATTTGACAAAATTCAACATCTTTCTGTAATAAAAACTTTCAACAAATTAGGTATCAATGTCCATATAACACAATAAAGGCATATATGATAGGCCCACAGCTAACATCATACTCAATGGTAAAAAGTTGAAAGCTTTTTCTCTAAGATCAGAAACAAGATGGATGCCCATTTTCACCACTTCTATTCAAGTTCTAGCAATTAGTCAAGAAGAAGAAATAAAGGCATTAAAGTCAGAAAGGAAGAAGTGAAATTGTCTCTGCAGACAACATGATCTTAAATGTAGAAAACCCTAAAGAGTCCACCAAAAAAAAACTGTTGGAACTAGTAAATTAATTCAGTAAAGTTGCAGGATGCAAAATCAACATAAAAAAATGAGTAGCATCTGTATACACTAACAATGAACTATCTGAAAAAGAAATCAAGAAAGCAATTTCATTTATAATGGCTACACAAATACTTAGGAATTAATTTAACGAAGGAGGTGAAAGACTTGTACACTGAAAACTATAAAACATTGGTGAAAGAAATTGAAGAAGACACAAATAAATGGAAATATATCCCATCTTCCTGGATTAGAAGAATTCATGCTGTTAAAATGTTCTTAGTACCCAAAGTGATCTACAGATTCAATGTAATCTCCATCAAAATTCCAATGATATTTTTTATGTAAACAGAAAAAAGTCCCCAAATTCATGTGAAACCACAAAAAAACTCCAAATAGCAAATTGTGAGCGAAAAGAACAAAGTAGGAGGCATCACATTATCCAGTTTCAAAATATACTATGATGCTATAGTAATCAAAAATATAACATGATACTGGCATACGAACAGACTGGTAGACCAATGGAATAGAATAGAGAGCCTCAAAATACATCCACGTTTAAGGCCAATTGATTTTCAGTAAATATGCCAAGAATACACAATGGGGAAAGGACAATCTTTTCAATAAATGGTGTTGGGAGAACTCCACATGCAGAGAAATGAAATTAGACCCTTATCTCATACCATATACAAAAAAAAAACACAAATGGACTAAAGACTTAAATATAAAACCTGAAACCATAAATCTACTAGAAGAAAACATTCAGGAAAAGCTCCATGAGACTGGTCTGGGCAATGATTTTCTGGATATGACCCCCAAAGCACAGGCAACAAAAGCAAAAATAGACAAGTGGGATTATATCAAACTAAAAAGCTGTGCAAGCAAAGGGAGCAATCAATAGAGTAAAGAGATAGCCTACAAAAAGGGAGAAAATATTTGCAAGCCATACATCTGATAAAGGATTAATATCCAGAATATATAAAGTATTCATACAACTCAATAGCATGAAAACATATAACCTGATTAATGAAAGGGAGGCAAAGTACCTGAATAAACATTTTTCCACAGAAGACATACAAATGGCCAACGGGAATATGAAAAAATAACCAACATCACCAGTCATCAGAGAAACGCAAATCAAAACCACAATGAGACATCCCTTTTAGAATGGCTACTATGAAAAAGACAAAAGATAACATGTGTTGGCGAGGATGTGGAGAAAAGGGAGCCTTTGTATACTGTTGGCAGGAATGTAAATTAGTACAGCTATTATGAAAAATAATATAGAGGTTTCTCAGAAAGTTAAAAATAAAACTACCATATGATCCAGCAATCCTAGTACTATTTATATACCCAAAGAAAATGATTCAATATGTCAAAGAAAAATCTGTACCTCATGTTCATTGCAACATTATTCACAATAGACAAGATATGAAATCAACCTAAGTATCCTTTAACAGATGAATGATTAAAGAAAATGTGGTGTGTATATACATAATGAAATATTGTTCAGCCTTAAAGAAGGAAATCCTGTCTTTTGTAATAACATGGATGAAACTGGAGGACATTATATTAAGTGAAATAAGCCAGGCACAGAGAGATAAATGCCATGTAATCTCGCTTATATGTGGAATCTAAAAAAGTCAAACACATAGAAGCAGAAAAGAGAATAATGGTTATTAGGGGAGGGGAAGGAAGGTAGAACTGGGGAGATGTTGGTCAAAGGATACAAAAATTAAGATAAGCAGGAAGAACAAGTTCAAGAGACCTATTGTACAACATGGTGACTACAGTTAATAACAATGTATTGCATACTTGAAAATTGGTAGGACAGTAGATTTTAAGTGCTTTCACCACAAAAGAAATGATAAGTATGTGAGGTAACACATGTATTAATTAGCTTGAGTTAGCCATTTCACAGTGTATCCATATTTCAAAACATCAGGTTGTACACTACAAATATATACAATTTTTGTTTGTATATTTAAAATTTTTTAATATTTAAAAATTCAACTCAAAAATAAATTCTTGGCCAGGCACAGTGGCTCACACCTGTAATCTCAGCACTTTGGGAGGCCAAGGTGGTGGATCATGAGGTCAGGAGATCGAGACCATTCTGGCTAACATGGTGAAAACCCATCTCTACTAAAAAAATACAAAAAAAATTAGCTGGGCATGGTGGCGGGCACCTGTAGTCCCAGCTACTTGGGAGGCTGAGGCAGGAGAATGGCATGATCCCAGGAGGCAGAGCTTATAGTGAGCTGAGATCACGCCACTGTACTCCAGCCTGGTGACAGTGCAAGACTCTGTCTCAAAAAATAAAAAAAATTAAAAAAAAAAATTCAGTAGGCAGAACTTTGCACTACGCACCTTGTCATTCACTTTGCATGGAAAGAGAAGAGACTCAAAGTAAGAATGTACTGACTCATGGTCAAATGGCTTGGCTACAGGTCAGGGGGATGGAAGGAGAAAATTTGGAAGACTGGAGAAAAAGACATCTGAGAAAAGGACATATAGGTGGACTTATGGGGATGTACAAAAAGTATGAAGATCTTTGTTTCACATGTTAACACCTACAAGAGGTATCTATCAACAACCAAGGAGAAAAGTGACTCAGCCAGATGATGTTAGCCAACCTCTTCCATTGGCCAGCTCAGTACTGGCACAATTGGTGAATAAATATAGTGACAAGGATGGAGGTTATGCAGAGGCCCAAACAGCAGAAGTCTCCACTGACTAAGTCTTATCTAGCTACTGCTGCTTCTGAATGTCAAAGTTGTCATCAAGACAGAGCAACACTGAGGCCTCAAGATAGCATCATCCCTCAAGGACACCAAGTAGCCACATGGTGGCAAGCTGAATGCACTGGATTCTTTCCATCACAGGAAGGGTAATGATTCATCTTGGCTGGAACTGATACTTATTCTGAGTATGGATTTATCTTTCCTACTTACATGGCCTCAACCAGCACCACTATCCAAGGGTTGACAGAATGTTTAATCCTCCAATATGGAATCCTACACATCCTTGCATTGTACTTTATAGCACTGTATAAAGGGAATGTACTTTGTAGCACTGCAGTTGCAGTGGTGGACACATGAAAATGCATTTCAGTGATCCTAATACAAATCACGAAATCACAACAACTAGAAGCTGTCAAACTGATGGAGTGATGGAACAGACTCCAGTAGCCCTTTGAAGCTGCAGGGATGGGATACAAGCATATATCCTAGATCAGTAACCATTATATGGTCCCATGTCGCTAATAGAAAGAGGACCATGGATTGAAGAAAGAGTAGCACTATTTACCGTCACCCCCAGGAATTCACTTGGGAAATTTCTGCTTCTTATCTCTGCAATTCAATGCTGTTACACAACGGAAGTAGACAGGAATGTGTTTGGCAGCCAAGGGATGTTTAAGTAGTCCCTTACTAAATTTTGATTGCTCAATTTAAAAAGACAAGTCTAGTAGCCATGGCTACTACACCCCCCTCTCCTATCACCAGGTAAGTGACCTAGACCAGTGGAGGTGCTAGCTGAGGGTAAGAATGTAAACCTGATAGTACCTGTATAGTAGGAAAGGCAGATGATCAGTTTAGGGTGAAAGACCAGTTGAAGAGCCAAGGAGCTATTTTTCCCTCCATGAATGTTACTTTCACGTTTCCCCAGCAAAAGAAACCAACCAAAATCCTGGAGGAGCTATTCCTAGATGGAAAGAAGTTATATGAAGTCATGGATCCAAATGACATGAGGGATGGACAGAGTAGTGTCTTCTGTGGTGTGTAGTCCAGGCCTCCCTGCAGAATGGAGACCCTCATTCCCCAGCTTCCTTAGAGTGCTGTCTGTTGAGGGCATATGACTAAGTTCATGCCCTAGGAATTGCCCTCAGGCCAAAAGAAACTGTGTAGTAGAAGTCACATCCTTGGGGCAAGAACTTAATTTGAATTCATATTGATTGTTGTCAACAGAATTTTAAGTACTGTATGGTATGTGCGTGAAAGGAAAAGAACATTTGAAATGAGCTAATGTAGAGTGGATCTATTGGGGAACTATTGGTGAATAATGATGATGTGGTCAGTGAGGTTCACTGAAGTTCACAGGGTTATTTGAACAGAAAACAACTGGGAGAGGTGGATTTGACACTCAGATTGGGGGACTGCACAAATAATAAGTTATCTGGGCTTCAGTTTTCTCATCTAGAACATGAGGGACTAAATGACTGCCAAGTATCTTCCAGCTTCTATATTCTGTAATGCTTAAGTACTCTGCAGAATATTAAAATGAACAGCACTGGGAGATAGCCCATGGGCTTGAAAAGTGAGGAAAAACAGAAACTGCCAGAGAGAGTTTGTTAAAACCTTAAAAACCTGCACATGGCTGTTTATAACAGTTGTATTCATAACTGCCAAAACTTGGAAGCAACCAAGATATCCTTCAGTAGGTTAATGGCTACACAAACTGTGGTACATCCAGACAAGGGAATATTATACAGCACTAAAAAGAAATCAGATATTAAGCTAAGAAAAGACATGGAGAAGACTTAAATGTATATTGCTAAGTAAAAGAAGCCAGCATGAGAAGGTTATATATTGCATGGTTCTAAGTGTATGACTATCTGGAAAAGGCAATACTATAATGTAGAAACATCAGTGGTTTCCAGCAATTTGAGGAAAGTAAGAGAGGGATACATAGGTGGAACACAGAGGATTTTTATGGTGATGAAACTATTCTGTATGATACTGGTGGATATCTGTCATTATACAGTTGTCAAAATTCACAGAACTTTACAACACAAAGAGTGAACGCTAATGTAAACTATGGACTTCAGTTATAATAATGTATCAATATGTATCAATTGTAACCAATATACCACATTAATACATGGTGTTAATAATAGGGTAAATTGTGTACAGAGGTAGGGATTGGGTGGAGAGTGGGATAGGAAGGTAGTGTTACATGGGAACTCTGTGTACTTTCTGCTCATTGGTTTCTGTAAACCTAAAATTGCTCTAAAAAACAAAGTCTACTAATTTTGAGAAATTTGATGAAAAATGAATATTCATGTAGTACCAAGGTATAAACTCAGAGATCACTGGCTAATTACAGAGGAAAATATACCATTACAATATAGACATCTGGCAATCACCACCTTAATTTAGGAATGAAAATTAGCATCACTGGCAGTGGGACAACCAGACATAAACTTCATAATGTGCCACTATTGGAAGTATACGACATCACCTTTGAATGATTCTGGCCAAAAAATTTAACCTGAATGTAACCAAGTCTTTAAATTTAACTTCAAACTTCAGAAAATTGAGGGGATAGACAAACAAACTTAATGAAACCATGAACAGTCCCACAAATCCAGAATGTGAGATATTCTACGTGACAACTAGCATGGTTCCTTTAAAATGTCAATACCAGCTGGGCACGGTGGCTCGCACCTGTAATCCCAGCACTTTGGGAGGCTGAGGAGGGTGCATCATGAGGTCAGGAGATCGAGACCATCCTGGCTAACATGGTGAAACCCCGTCTCTACTAAAAATACAAAAAATTAGCCGGGCGTAGTGGCGGGCGCCTGTAGTCCCAGCTACTTGGGAGGCTGAGGCAGGAGAATGGCGTGAACCCGGGAGGCGGAGCTTGCAGTGAGCCGAGATCCCGCCACTGCACTCCAGCCTGGGCGACAGAGCGAGACTCCGTCTCAAAAAAAAAAAAAAAATACAAAAAATTATCCAGCCGTGGTGGCAGGCACCTGTAATCCCAGCTACTCAGGAGGGTGAGGCAAGAGTATCTCTTGAACCCAGGAGGCAGAGGTTGCAGTGAGCCAAGATCACGCCACTGCACTCCAGCCTGGTGACAAAGCAAGATGCCGTCTCAAAAAAAAAAAAAAGTCTATGCCATTTAGCAAGGGATTAAGTATGGAGAAATCTACTGGATTACAAAATAAGAGACAAAAACAAAATGTAGTGTCCAGTTCTCGATTGGATCCTGGCTTTTAAAAATTGCTATAATTGGGAAAAAATTAAGAAAATGTGAATCATAGGGTGTAATTATGCAAACCTAGATGGTGTATATACGTATATTTTTGAGACAGAGTCTCACTGTGTCACCCAGGCTGGAGTGCTGGTGCGATCTCAGCTCACTGCAACCTCAGCCTCCCAGGTTCAAGCAATTCTCGTGCCTCAGCCTCCTGAGTAGCTGGGATTACAGGCACCTGCCACTGCACCAGGCTAATTATATTTTCAGTAGAGACGGGGTTTCACCATGTTGGCCAGGCTGGTCTCAAACTCCTGACCTCAGATGATCTGCCCACCTTGGCCTCCCAAAGCGCTGGGATTACAGGCATGAACCACTACATCTGGCCCTATATATTTTCACTTATTTATTTTTTATAAGGAAAATCAAATGTTCCAGCACCACTACTGAGCATCAGTCATTCCTCTACTTGAGCTGCAATGCCATATCAAGGGCCATATACTGTTTATCAAGTTTCTATATATGTTCCAGTTTAATCTTATGAGACCACCACAGTGTAGATGGTCGACTAGTTGACTGAAATGTGTTACATGGGGCATGACTGTTTATATTTGAAAATATTTGGGAGTTGAATAATTTTAAGGAATTACTGATAACTTGGTGTGAAAGGATAAGGGAATTGTGGTTATGCAAGAAAATGGCTTTAGTTTTTGAATATGCAGGCTTAAGTATACAGAGGCAAATTAGCATGATGCCTATAATTTACTTTTAATTCAAATTGAAAAATTACATAAAGAAAACTTGACAAAATATTAACAATTAATGGGATTTAGGTGGTGGTTATGTGGGTGCCCATTTTTTCTACCTTTCTGTAGGCTCCAATGTTACATAATTAAAAGGGAAAAAATGGGGCCACAAGAGAAGGTACAATTAAACATTAATGGGTCCCTTCTCCCAAGCGGTTAGTGCTGAGAGTGTGGAGTGTGTTCTCCAGGATCAGCACATATTTATTATCTTGAAAAATCCATTCCCCCGAAAAACATCCCATGAAAAAAACTTAAAAAAAAAAAGGTTTCTGTTTTAACACCGGTCACCCCTGCAAAACACTTTACAAAAAAATCCTTGTCTTCACTGCCACAGACATTTTCCTTTTCTTCTTGTATAAGATTACCCGGTGAGGCAGCCGAGAGCGACCCCCCCGCCCCCTCGCAGCTCCGAAGCAGCTTCAAGAAGGAACAGGATCCCGAGGCCTGGACGCTGGACCCTACACCGCCACCCTCGTCCCAGCCCTCTGCGGGTCGCAGTTCCTCGGCCGTGGAGTAGTTTGGGATTCCAGGTGATTTTGTGTTTGTGCGCTGGCCCAGGCTTCCGCCCCAGCCCTTACTCTCCTTTCACGGAAAGGTCGCAGCCTGTGGCCCTACCGGCAGACAGGTGCAGAGGTGAGCCCAGCGTCCCAGCCATCCCCTGTCCTCGCACCGCACATGACCAGGCCTGCTGGCCGGTCCTCTCTATCCCGGGCTACAGGAACCAGATCACCGGCGCTCCTTGGGAAACGCAGGATGTGGAATGTGGTTAAGACCCCATGAATTTTGATGTTATAAAAGACTAGCCAATACACACTAAGTGGTCTCGGTGTGATCCATCACTCCGCAAAAATGGAGTGGGCAACATGTTCATAAAAAAATTGGACAAATCTATTGATTATAAAGCATTGCATGATATATCTGCTTTTGGTAACATCTTTTTGTTGCAGAAAAAACCAGGTTCTTGTCATACCACCAGGAAAAGGCACGCAAACACTTGAAGGGTGAGGGGGAACGGAGTTTATTGGGTGGAAAGGAAAAAGCAAAAATAACTCTCAGCAAAGAGAGAAAGAGTCCTGCTAGCAGGTTTCCCGCCTCATAGATTAAATCCTAGGTCACTACATGGGAACAGGCCAGACTCCTCTCCACTGCACACCGCACAAACTTCCCAAGGCTCCACCCCGTAATCCCAGTGCACAGGTGGGCATTATTCAGAATCAGTGAGGAAAGGGCGGCTTCAACCAGGACCTGCAGTCCAGTTTATCAGCCTTCAGGCTGTTTTAGTCTTGAAGGTGGTGTTTTACCAGAGGACCCTTGGCTGCCTCCTGTCTCTATCACTTTCACATTAGGTGCTTTGTGGTGAAAACAGTTTCAAGGGTGATGGCATTGTACATTTTGAGACACAGAAGCAGCTGAAAGATCTATTCAAAAATGAAATGGATGCTTCTAAATGATAGCAAAGTCTTTGTTGGATTAAGTCTTGTAAACAATGAGAAGCAGAACTCAGAGTTAAAAAGTTCACCAATGTTTACAGGAAGATTTTTGGAGAAGACATGGATGGTAGGTGCCTTAAAGATCTCTTTGGCAAGTTGGGATCTGTCTTAAGTGTGATAGTAGTGGTTAATGAAAGTGGAAAACCCAAAGGTTTTGGATTTGTCAGCTTTGAAAGGCATAAAGATGCGCAGATGAGATGAACAGAAAGAAGCTCAATGGAAAACAAATTGATGTTGGTCAAGCTCAGAAAAAAAGTAGAATGGCAGATGGAACTTGTGTGCAAATTTGAAAAGATCAAGCAGTATAGGATCACCAGATAACAAAGTGTTAACATTTATGCAAAAAATCTTGATGGTATTGATGAATGTCTCTGGAAAGAACTTTCTCCACTTGGTACAATCACCAATGCAAAGGTTATGAAGGATGGTTGTCACAACAAAGGGTTTGATTTGTGTATGTTTCTCCTCTCCAGAGGAAGCAACTAAAGGACTTTCAGAAATGAATGGTAGCATTGAGGGCACTGAGCCATTGTATATAGTGTTAACTCCATGGGAAGAAAAGCAATGAAGAGCACCAGGCTCAGCTCATTAACCAGTGCAGTATGTGCAAAGAATGGCAAGTGTAAAAACTATGCTCAACCTGGGAATCAGTTCCTATCAGCCAGCACCTTCTTCAATTGACTTCATGGCAGTTATCCCACAGACTGAGAGCCATGCTGCAAAGTATTCTCCTAGCCAAACTGCTCAACTAAGTTCAAATCCTCCCTAAATTGCTCAGGGTGCCAGACCTCATCCATTGAAAAATATGCCCAAGCCGCTCCTAGCTCACTACATTTAGTAGTAAGAGACCAGCTTCTTCATAGCTTCCATGAGTCATGTCAACACAGCTGTTGTAACCCATCGAAACAGACAATAGGAGCACATCCTGCAGTTGCCGCTACTGCTACTACAGATACTCCTGCTTTTTGTACCATTTCACAGTATAAATATGCTATGGAAGCTCACAATCCTCAATGGCATTTTCATGCACAGCCCCAGGTTACCTTGAAGCAGCCTGCTGTTCATGTAGAAGGTCAAGAACCTTTGACTTCCATGATGGCATCTGCTCCTCCTCAAAAGCAAAAGGAAACGAGTGAATGGCTGTTTCCTCTTCTTCAAGCCATGCCCTAGTCGTGCTGGTAAAATCATTGGTATGTTGTTGGAGATTGGTAATTTGGAACTCCTTCATATGCTTGAATCTCCAGAGCCTCTCTATACTAAGGTTGACAAAGGTATAGCTGTACTACAAGACCACCAAGCTAAAGAGGCTGCCCAGAAAGCAGTTAATGGTGCCACTGGTGTTCCAATTGTTTAAAACTGATCAGGGACCACAGAAAGAAACTTGAGCATCACTGAAGAAAAATATCTCAATATCAAAAACCTTAAATACTATGGAAAAAATTTGTAAAGTATAAAATAAATTTAAAAAGGAAACTTTGAACTTTACATACCAAGCAGATGTCAGATCTAACAAATGCAATGATAGTCCTAGATTACTTATTGATTTGAAAAGAAAAAATCCTCCCAAAATAATAAAATATAGAAACACTGTAATGCTTTTCAGACTCTGTGATAAATAATTTTCAGCAAAGTATAAAAATTTAAAGCATTCCTTTAATTTTGTAATTCATTAGTGTGGAATAGCTAAGAATGTCACTTCTGTTTTAAGTAACAGAATTGATAACTGAGCAAGGAAAGGTAATTTGGATTATAAAATTTTGCTTTAATAAAAATTCCTTAAACAGTGAAAAAAATAGGCAAAGATACAAAAAAAGTTTATAAGAAACAACAATCTTGTATTTATTTGTTTTTTATTTTATTTTATTTTATTTTATTTTTTTGAGATGGAGTCTCACTCTGTCACCCAGGCTGGAGTGCAGTGGTGTGATCTTGGCTCACTGCAACCTCTGCCTCCCAGGTTCAAGTGATTCTTCTGCCTCAGCCTCCCGAGTAGCCGGGACTACAGACACCTACCACCATGCCTGGCTAGTTTTTTGTATTTTTAGTAGAGACAGAGTTTCACCATGTTAGCCAGGATGGTCTCCTTCTCCTGACCTCCTGATCCACCCGCCTTGGCCTCCCAAAGTGCTGGGATGGTGTGAGCCACTGTGCCCAGCCTTATTTGTTTAAATACTATAAACACTAATATCATACACATGGTTAACTGGTTGTAATTTTTAAATTATATTAATAAATTTTTATAAAAACTTTTTATAAATAAAAAACTTAAAATTTCAAATAAATAACAACATCTGCCACACTACCTTAAAACGGCGACTATTTCAGTATTATAAACATATATCACAGACACTTAGAGAAAGTTCAATAAATAAAGAATAAAAAGAAAAGGTACAACAATTTTCCTCCTAATCAAAAACACAATTCCTCATTTTGAAAATTATTTCTTATCTCTCTTTTATTAAAATAAACTTTCTACTTTGAAATCTAATCCTCTTGTGAATGTAAAATACTATCTTGTAAATATATATATATACACATATATTTTATTATTTTTTTTTTTTTGAGACAGAGTCTTGCTCTGTCTCCCAGGCTGGAGTGCAGTGGTGTGATCTCAGCTCACTGCAACCTCTGCCTCCTGGGTTCAAGCGATTCTCCTGCCTCAGCCGTCTGAGTAGCTGGGATTACAGGTGCATGCCACCACATCTGACAAATTTTTTGTATTTTTAGTAGAGACGGGCTTTCACTATGTTGGTCAGATTGGTCTCGAACTCCTGACCTCGTGATCTGCCCGCATTGGCCTCCCAAAGTGCTGGGATTACAGGCATGAGCCACAACACCCTGCCTATATTTTTATTTTTTTATAAGTGACAATGAGATGTCCTCATGATTTAAATAGTAGTCAAAACACTGGCACAGTTTAAATTTTTAGAATTTGAGTACTAGAATTACAATATTTGAAAATGGAGTCTGTACTTTGTTGTAAAACTATAAAGAGAAAATGTCACTAAAACAGTAGCTATTTTATCTTTTCCCAGAGTTATTCTCCCAGAGTGTATTTTCTAAGAGTTATTTCCCAGACGGTTTTAGAACTTTTGGCAGTTTCGGTGATATATTCTGTAAACGCCCTTAGTCTTAATAGGGATAACACATAGTTTTGATTGCCTTAAATTTTAATTGCTTCACTTGGCAAATGTATGTGTAAATTTCATATTCTGTGGTATTTTAATATCTTGCTTGTGAGAAGAGGAAAAAGAGGAATGAAAGTAATATTCAGTCCTTGCATTGAGCTTTTGCCAAAGAAGTCTAAAGAATTTCTAAAATGCCATTCAATAAGGCCATTTTAGAAGTGTTTATATGACTCTTATAACTTTAAAATAAAGAGTCTTGAAGTTAACTAAAACTCACTTTGCTTGTGATGGGTTCTACATTAACATGGCAGATTTAATCAGCCAGAATTAAAAGGTAATTTTATATTACTAAGGAGAAGAAACTGCCACATGACAGTAGTCTCCAAGTCTTTCATTTTTGGAGGCTGCCTTTTATGTCTAGATTTTAAAATACTAATTGAAAAAAATATAGTTTACTTCCATTTGTGATTTAATTTTATTTCTATAAATAAAAATATAGATAGTGTTTCAACTAAAAACCGCTAAACCAGACTTTCATTTTAAGGGCATGGCAGAAATAAGGAAAGACTAACTTGGTTCTATTACTTAACATATTATTTATTCAGGTAGTCAACAAAACCAGAATTTAAAATCTATTCGGTTAACCCATTTAAAGTTGATGTGTTTTACTCCCTTTTTTTTCTTTTTGTAGTGATCTTTTTAACTGAATTACTGGATATCATAGGGAGTTCTACTCCTCCTATTTGGAAACTTAGGCTATCTTACCAAGTTCAACATTCAGTTTTTCTTTCTGCCGTTAAGTTTGTTTAATTTTATATTAAGCTCAGTTTGCATTATGATATCAAATTCAGCCTGAGGGATTACTTTAAACTTTCCTAGGGTATTTACAGATTTAATTTGTTCTTACAGTATGTAAATACCAAGACAGCATTCCATTTAATATTATTTTTATTAAATTAACTTTGGAGTAAAAAGTCCAAGAAAAGCCCTGTACCGAAATCCTGGATTTTCTACATATTTCTACTTTAAAATTCTTCTGTCATGTGAAATAATTCATTAAAAGAAGTAGGCAGATGATGACAGGTAAACTTTTTAATGATGTTCTAATGCTGGCAATTGCAGTATTATTTTGCTTGGATCATAATGGCGTGTGAGCATTTTAAGCCCCAGAATGCCCATAAGTAGAGCTCCATTTGGAGCTGTGATCAAGATGGCTAAAAATGCTACTGTCATCACATCCTTTGCATATGGTTCCAAGTGGGGTGCGGAGACTGTTGCTGTTTCTAGAGCCAGAGGACCTAACACAGCCTACATTTAGGGGTAAAAATGGGGCATAAAGAAAAATATTAAACTGAGTTAATATATAATGTAAATGGCTCTGTTAAAATAAACAAAATCTAGTACTAGACTATTAGAAAAAAAAAGTACTCAGTAATTTTCATAAGTTACTCATCAGTTCCATGTTCTTCCTAGCAAATATATGTGGAGGAAGAGTACAATAGTGACAAATCAGCATGCAAACATTTTTCGGCTGATTTTGCACTCTTGTCCTCTCAGTGTTCCTCTATTCAAATATCTCTTTTGAGTGTTGCCCTCATAACACCAGGAGTTCTAACGAAACTGGTTTTGCTTAGTTGCCTTTATCGTGTACCAGTGGATTTTGACTACAAGAAGACAAAATAAAATATTAAGTTTTCTTCTGGTTCTCTAGGATTTGTTGCCCTTCTTCTCATTGTTGTCCTTATTCAGGGGGCACTGGGTTATAGCAGAACTGACAGCAGGCTTGGAATCTAGCAAACTGGGTTTGAATTCTATTTTTGCTTCAACCAGGCTAGTGACCTTGTACAAATGACTCACACTCTCTAACCTTCTACTTACTTACGTGTAAAACGAAGAACAAAATACTTATCTTACTGGACGGTTGTGAAAATTAAATATTAGGATGTGAAGAATACCTGGCACAGAGTAGGTATTCAGATAGTAGTAAGTTTCTTTCTCCTTCACTCCTCATCCCCTGCCAGGTCAGAGATTGAGTTCCTTTGAAGTTTTTGTTTTAGAATGACTCTACTGGGTCACAGGTTTTTTTCCCTAGTTACCTTCTACCACATTATTTTTAATAACATAAAGCAAATTTCTTGCTAACTCTCTTTCCTTGTGTTTAATAACTAGGCATGAAATTGCCTTAAAATTTGGGGGAATTAAATACCAATATATAACATATTTTCGATGGAGTTGCAAAGTAACAACATAATAGTAGAAACATTACCTCTGATATGGAACATTATGGCAAAAGAACCCCTCAATTTAAGATCAATTTCTATATCCTAAATCAATAATTTAAAATGGTATTATTTTTATATCATAACTTTCAATGTACTGAACATGATCCAGTATGCTGGAGGATGCTAGGGAGAAAAAAATAATCATGCAGAAAACCACCTTGAAAGAATCTTACAGTTTAGAAGAGGATTTGAACATAAAAGAACTGCCAACAGAAAAAACAAAAACAAAAACCAAACCCATTGACTTTTAAGAGATGATGACGATAATGGTGAAACTAGAAATAATATTTTTATAGTTATATGGCATTCATCATATGTCAGGTATCATTCTTAAAGCTTTCCATTTATCAATTCATTTAATTCTTATGACAACCTTATTATGTGAGGACTTTTATTAGATGATAAATGATTTCCTCCTAGTGACTGAGATTTAATATTATTTCTTTAAAAAAATCCAATTGCCAAGCTGATCTTACATTTGTAAATTAAATTATTTATTTACTCTCCTAATAGCTTCTATTTTTCCAGTCTAATTTTTATCAGTAACTCAAAACTAAGGAACAAGAGAAAGATGATCCTTAGCCAATTTTATTTTAGCAGCAGAGAACGGCGGAAGAGGATAAAGGTGAAAATAATTTAAAATTGAAATTTAAATATTTGTTGATCGTATTTACTTGTGACATTATTGTTATCTATTATTGCTGTTGTGACTCTACTTGTATAAATAATTAATTTTTTATGTCTTGCCAGTTCCTGGAACCAGCCTGATATTCTTTTTGTAGAAGCTAGCCTGGAGCCAGCAGACAGGAATAGGCAGAAGCAGAATAATACTGCAGGACTCGAGTGAGTGGTCTCTTTCCTCATACCAGCTTTTCTTTTTTCCCTGCTTTATGAAAATTATGAAATAATGAAACAAAATTGCAAGAGTATTGTTGGAAGGAGAGAGAACAGATACTCCTTTTGCAGATTTATTATTCCCTAGAGTAGACATTAAAAATAAAAAGTTATTATTTATATTTCTTGAAGGTAAGATAAAATAACAGCATTGTTTTTTAACTGAGCACCACCATATGCCAGAGAGAGTGCTAAGCACTTTACATGGATTATCTCATTGAATCCTGACAACACTGCTAAGAAACAGATACAGTCATAGACTTCATTGTAAGATGAGAACACTGAAGGACTGAGAGACTAGAAAATAATTTTCCTGAGGTTATAGGCAAGTAACATGGTATTCAAAACAGGTAGTCTGGCCCTATGAACCTGCTTTTCTAACATGATAATAGAGGTTTTTTTGCATGAAAATTTAGGAGCTTCTGTTTTGGAATAACAACTAAGAAAAGAGTCACAGGAAATTAAGGTATATTATGCTGCCAAGTTAAACAGTCTAACAAGAAGTAGCAATATATTTTAGTAGGAGGAGAATATCCTTGAATAACAGGGCAAAATTACAAGGTTTCCCTTTCCGTTCATTCATCCTTGCAGGCATGCAATACGTATTTGCCTCCTGCATGTCAGGCACTGTGTTAAGTGCCAGGGAGAAATAATGAAAAACAACGGCAACAACCAGACACTGTCCCTGTCCTTACGTAGTCTATCAAGGGGGCGGGGGCAGGGATTTAGCCATTAACCAAATAGTATACAAATAAATGTGTAATTAAAAAAATATATGTGCATTTGTGTGATGGAGTGAGTGGCAAGGTAGGAAAAGTATTTTTTAAAAAAATCAATGTGTCTCTATTTTACTTTACTTTTTTTTGTGACAGGGTCTCACTTTGTCACCCAAGCTGGAGTGAAATGGCGTGACCTCAGCTCACTGCAGCCTCAACCTCCTGAGTTCAAGCAATCCTCCTTCCTCAGCCCCCAAGTAGCTGTGACTACAGGTGCGTGCCACCACACCTGACTAATTTTTTTGTATTTTTTGTAGAGACGGGGGTTTTACCATGTTGCCCAGGCTGGTCTTGAACTCCTGAGCTCAAGTGATCTGCCTGCCTCAGCCTCCCGAAGTGCTAGGATTACAGGCATGAGCCACCATGCCTGGCCTGTGTCTCTACTTTTTAAAATCATAACATTTAGCTTTGTTATATTCAGCAAAATATAAAAACTCCAATTTTCAGATATATTCTTATTATATATTTTAGGAAAATAAAAAACATATTTTCATAAACTTAGGAAGTACTTATTGAAAGAATACTTTTTGATTTCAAAATAATTGCTTTTAAAACTGAGATTTCAAAAGGTTACATTGGCTGGGCCCAGTGGGTTATGCTTGTAATCCCAGAACTTTAGGAGGCTGAGGCAGGAAGATCACTTGAACCTAGGAGTTCAAGATCAGCCTGGGCAACATAGCAAGACCTCCTCTTTACAAAAAAATCAGAAAGAAAAGGCCAGGTGCAGTGGCTCATGCCTGTAATCCCAGCACTTTGGGAGGCTGAGGTGGGCAGATCACTTGAGGTCAGGAGTTTGAGACTAGCCTGGCCAACATGATGAGACCCCATATCTACTAAAAATACAAAAATTAGCTGGGTGTGGTGGTGTGCACCTGTAATCCCAGCTACTGAGGAGGCTGAGGCAGGAGAATCGCTTGAACCTGGGAGGTGGAGGTTGCATTGAGCTGAGATCATGCCACTGCACTCCAGCCTGGGCAACAGAGTAAGACTGTCTCAAAAAAAAAAAAAAATCTGAAAAAAAGCAGTTGGGTATGGTGGCAGGTGACTGTGATCCTAGCTACTCAGGAGGCTGATGTGAGAGGATTGTTTGAGCCCAGGAGGTTGAGGCTGCAGTGAGCCGTGATCATGCCACTGCACTACAGTTTGGGTGACAGAGTGAGACCTGGTCTCAAAATGAAAATAAAAATAAAAATAGAAAAAGGTTACATTGAGTTTCTTTGTTTGTTTTTGTTTATTTATTTATTTTTTTGAGATTGAATCTTGCTCTGTCACCCAGACTGGAGTACAGTGGTGCCATCTCAGCTTACTGCAACCTCCGCCTCCTGGGTTCAAGTGATTCTCCCATCTCAGCCTCCTGAGTAGCTGGGACTGGTTACGTTAATTTTAATGAATAGTTATGATCAATCAAACATTTAAAAAGTAAGGACAATAGCTCATATTTTGTGATTGGAGTAACATTTTTCATTTTAAATTTTAAAAGCATCAAAACAAAAGCATTAAGCAATAGGCTTAATATGTTCTTACCTGTACTGTAGCTTTGGGCATCCATGCTAAAGCAATAAATATTTTCTCCTTAAAACTAAAACCAGCAAAGCACATCAATAGATATGTGGTTAAAATTCGAACACATAATGCCAAACTCAAGAGTGGCAACAGATATGCCTACAACAGATGAAAACAAACATAAATAACAAAATATTTGTGAAGAAGTGTTCTTTATGCCCAGGAATATGATTTCTAAAACTTTCGAAAGCATTTTAAGGCTATTGTCTCTTCATGTGTTTAATTTTTACATAAAATAATGATAATAAAAAATGAATATGATGGAGGATTCTCTGTAAAGTGCAAGACAGTATCTGATGGTGGAGGTTCCATGAAAAATAAGACAGATGACATTTATACAATTCTGAACTAATAGACTTTTTTTGAATACTTTTATTATTATTAATAATAATTTACTTTTTGAGAAGGATTCTTGCTCTGTCGCCCAGGCTGGAGTGCAGTGGTACAATCTCAGCTCACTGCAACTTCCGACTCCCGGGTTCACGTGATTCTCCTGCCTCAGCCTCCTGAGTAGCTGGGATTATAGGCGCGCACTACCACACCTGGCTAATTTTTGTATTTCTAGGAGAGATGGGGTTCCCCATGTTAGCCAGGCAGGTCTTGAACTCCTAACTTCAAGAAGTGTGCCCGCTTCGGCCCCCCAAAGTGCTAAGTTTACAGGCATGAGCCACCATACCCAGCCAATAGTTTTAAATGAAAGTACTCAAAAAGTGCTGATCGTATCAAATATGTTCCCTCAGGAAAGAAATCTTATATTTATTTCCTTAGATAACTCAGGGAAGATATTCAGGGCTGTTCCTGGTTTAAAAAAGAAAGAGCACACAGTGTAAAGGAAGAGCAATATGAAAATATGACACTGTATCAACATGTGTTTCTGAAGAAGGTCCTTGTAGCCATTCAAAGATATATTGTAAATAAAAATAAATGCATTTATAATTTTCTTAAATATTTTTGAATTTCATATTTTTTGTGCTCTATTTATTCTTACCAACAATATTTGATTCAAGCGATGAAACAGATACTTCTGCTCCAACTAAACCAAAAAGAAGTGGTTGAAAAATATCCCATACATTTGTAATAATCTTTTGGACTTTCATCTATAGAAAAGAGAAATACATTTATAATTATTTTGGCACATAAATATATTTCAGAAAGTTAAGTTCTCCCTCACCTTTTTTTTTTTCACTTTTTAAGTATTTTAGAGATGGGGTCTTGTTCTGTTGCCCAGGCTGGAGTGTAGTGGCATAATCTTAGCTCACTGTAGCCTTGAACTCCTGGGCTCAAGTGATCCTCTCGCAGTCTCCCAAGTAGAACTACAGGTGTGTACCTCCATGCTGGGCTAATTTTTAAATTGTTTATAGAGACGGGGTCTCGCTATATTGCCCAGGATGGTCTAGAACTCCTGTCTTCAAGTGGACTCTGGCTGTGGCCTCCCAAAGCACTGGCATTATAGGCATGAGCCACCATGCCTGGCCTAAAGTCACTTAACATTTAATAAATTTAATACACTTTATTTTAATAAAAATGTTAAACTTAATTAATAAAAACTGAGCACTTCAATAGTTTTACTTAAACACTTAGGTAGAATTTGATTAAAAGAAACTTACAAAGCAATAAAATAATACTATTTGGCCATTTTGTCACAGAATAAGTGATGTCCTTAGGGTTCTAGCCATGTTTCGTATGAGTTCTAGATTTTGTCTCTAAGTTAACTGAACAGAGATAGAACTACATCATGCCTGATGAGAACATACCCAGTTCATGCAAACATTTGGGATCTCAGAAGGAGGTTGGGAAGCCTTCCACTAACAACCATCCTGGAACTCAATCCCATTAAAGTGAATCCTGATATATATAGCATATACTACTAGGAAAAACAATTTGGAAGTCTACTAGGCCTGCTTCCAAAGAACCCGTGTTGAATACTTTAAAGTTACTTTTTCCTCAAAACAAAAGAAAACATATATTAGATTCTCATTTAGCTGCCTATCCGGCTTCCCTTTCTGAAAACGAATGCCTCCCAGTACTACTTCCCCAATTAAAAGGTTACAGGAAAGGCCCCCTATTGGCCTACATTACTCTGGCTCTTCTCCAGGAATTTGGATGAAGAGATTTCAGTCTCAGTCTGGGTTTAATTTTTTTTTTAAACAGAAGATACATAAGAACTTTGATGTCTCTTCCTTGAGGCATAAACTATCTTTATAACTATTTCCCTTATGACTGTGTTTTCTGATCCCCACTTATTATAGTTTAAAAAAAGAAAAACAAAGAAAAACGATGTTACTACTCTTTACAGCATAATTATCCTGTTTGTTACTTTTAATCTTTAAAACTTGTTTTAGTTCTGTGTCTTTTACCATTTAAAAAAATTCTAGCAGTTTTAATTTTATTTATTGATTTGCATTTCATTCATTTCTTTTATAATTATGATTATATAAGAATACTAAGCAAAATGCCACTATGATTTTTGATTAGGGAATTTCTCAAGCTGATTCTAAAATTTATCTAAGAAAGAATATGTGTAGGAACAGCCAAAAAATACTTTAAAAAGAAGTAAAATCTATATTAGATTTTGACACATAAAAGTGCAGTGATTTAAAACAGTGGTGTTGGCATAGAAATAGAGAAGTAGGATTAAATAGACTTCAGAATTAATATATATGGGAGAATTTAGTTCATGTTAAAAAACTGAATTATTAATGAATTGGTCAATAAATAATTTGGCAAAAAATGACTGTCTAGTTTATGTGCATATATACGTATGTACATATTCATCACATGCAAGTATATATGTGTGTCTGAATATGTATGTATATTTATGTGTGTGTGTATATATATATATACATATATATATACACACACACATCAGGCATGATGTAGTTCTATCTCTGTTCAGTTAACTTACAAACTGTATGTGTGTGTGTGTATATATATATAGTTTGTAAGATACACATATGTATATATGTATAACCTTACCTCACAAAATTCACAAAGATAAATTCCAGATAGAATAAAAGACTAAATGAAAGAACAAATTAAACAAACAAAAACTACCAAAATATTAAATGATAATACACAAAATAGTATATCTTTGTAATGTTTATATGTTATAATCTTCAGTGAGAGAGTCCTTCTTAAATGAGATGCAGAATCCAAAATCAAAAAAGGAAAACCCAATAGGTTTGGTCGTAGGAAATTTTACTTTCATACACCAGACACCATAAACAAGCAAAATTATATGCAATATATACATAACAAAGGATCAGTAGCCCTAACACTAAGAGAAACTATAAATTAGAAACAAAAAAATAAATAACCCAATAAAAATGGTCAAAGAAGATCATAGGTATTTTAAAAAGAATATATGAAGAGAAGCTTACTATACTACTAATCAGAGAAATGTAAATAAAGAATAACAACATCACATAATTGTTAGAAACTATAAGAATTGGATGGTGAGGTCATTTAATAGTAAAAAGAATAGAACTAGTGATAATATCAAGTGCTGTTGATGAGTTAAGGTATTAGATATTGTTGTGCACTGTTGGCAGAGTGTAAATAACCAAAATTTTTGAAGGGATAATTTAGCAGTGTCCATCAAAATAAAACACAGATCATTTCCAGCCAGGTGTGGTAGCTCATGCTTGTAATCCTAGCACTTTGCATTGTCAAGTTGGGAGGATCCCTTGAGCTCAGGATTTTGAGACCAGCCTGGGCAACATAGATAGAGACTCTGTCTCAAAAAAAAAAAATCATTTCTAGGACTCTATTCCTACAGATGTACCTGTAATCCCAACACTTTGGGAGGCCGAGGCAGGAGTATCACCTGAGGTCAGGAGTTCAAGACCTGCCTGGCCAACATGGTGAAATCCCGTCTCTACTAAAAATACAAAAATTTGCTGGGCGTGGTGGTGCGCGCCTGTAATCCCAGCTACTAGGGAGGCTGAAAAAGAAGAATCACTTGAATCCAGGAGGTGGAGGTTGCAGTGAGCCAAGGTTATGCTACTGCACTCCAGCCTGGGTGACAAGAGTGAAACTGTCTCAAAAAAAAAAAAGACATGAACAACACTGTTTATGACAGCACTGTTTGTAAATAACAAAAAGTGGAAACGATCTTAATGTCTACAAATAGAATACTGGTTACTTAAAAAAATGTAAAGGGGTTCGATATTTGACAGTGGTGGGGAATAAAGAAATCTTTTACATTTTATTCTATATGTTTTATTCTTTTACAAGCATTTCTATTTTTATTATTTGTTTGTTTATTATTATTTTGTGTGTGTGTGATGGAGTTTTGCACTTGTTGCCCAGGCTGGAGTGCAATGGCATGATCTCAGCTCACTGCAGCCTCCGCCTCCTGGGTTCAAGCAATTCTCCTGCCTCAGCCTCCTGAGTAGCTGGAATTATAGGTGCCCACCACCACGCCACCATGCCCAGCTAATTTTTGTATTTTTAGTAGAGATGGGGTTTCACTATGTTGGCCACGCTGGTCTCAAACTCCTGACCCCAGGTGATCTGTCCACCTCGACCTCCCAAAGTTCTGGGATTACAGGCATGAGCCACCGTGCCTGGCCTTTTACAAACATTCTTCATGGATTAATTGTATAATTAAAATTTCAATGAATAAAATAATTAGATTGATATAAGTAATATAATAATATTATATAAAACTTGGGAAAAAGAGAAACCTGATGTGATTAACTCAACTTCTGATTCCATATTAGTATATATCCAGCTGCTTTTCCTAAATATTTTATTTCCTCAATTGATTCATACACTTTCTTGAGGATAGCAAATCTTTTGGAATATTTTCCAACCAGAATGAGGGGATTTCCTAAATATATGTAAAAAATTCAGTTGTCTTAGCTTTTAAAATATAGCATATTAAAAATATTCACCTTTTCTTGGGACCATTTTGCCCCTGCAATGAAACTCAACACTAGTGTGCATAATCCTCCAGATCCATGTAAACCAATACGTTGGCTGCCTAAGACAGCAGAAACACACGTAGTCAAAACAAGGAATCCTCTCTTCAATGTAAGTTTTTTCTAGAATTAGATAGATATTTAGAAATTAGTTTATATTAAATATATAATACAAGATTTGACATTATCTATTATATATGTTTGACCTTTTGATATTATGTCTTTAAATGTTATATTAAATGTCTAAAATTTTGATTTTCTTTCTCACCATACATTTTAGTAGACTTACTACCAAGTAACAAAATTTCCAATTAGTAACGTTTCATCTTCTGCCACATCTCTGATACTAGTATCAGTAAAATGGTTTAAGTATTACTTTAAGTGAAGAAGAAAAGAGACCCATAAAATCTCCAGTTTCATATAACATATCCAATGAATTCTTAAAAAATATTTGAATTACTCTTTGGTCAATATGCTACAGCTAAATTTGGATGGAAATTACAGAAATACAAAAGTAATGTCATGTTTTCCTTTAAGGCAGGAAATGGCTAAGTTTGAGTGTTGCCTTTGTCAAAGGATAGCAGGAGTGAATTTCAGTCAGAAAATATGCAGAAATAAATGGGAACCTATCTCCCCCTAAAATGTTTAAGGGGAAATTATCAAACATCAATAGGCAATTTAGTAGAGAAAGGGAAAGTATAATTCAGAGGGATACTCTGCATCAAGTATATTTTTTGACATTCCTTATTTGCCAAATCAGGAAGCAGAGACTTTAATCAAAGCCATTGACCTGTATCAATCACTGCTGTGCTCAGTTTTAAATACAGAGTAGGCATTGGAGGCTAGTTTTAGAAAAATAGAGTTAAGTATTAAATTTCATGGATCTTACCAAAGTTTAATATTTTGAAAAAAATGTCTAATACTATACTTCTATAAAATAGATTTTGTATTTACTTGGTCTTCACTTGGAAAATATCGAACAAAAAATCCCAAAACAATTCCTGCCAGCAGACTAATGCATACGTTCCTTATAGAGACTATGGCATTATTAAGCATACCACCTGCAGGGGCACACAATAAAAAAAAAATTCACAAAGAAATATTTTCACATACACTACACATCAGAAAAGCAAATCTAGGTGGTTCATGAAGAAAAGTAAGCATTTGATAGAACAAATATGTGCAAATGGTCTTTTTATAGTGACATGTATGAAAACACATAGATCTATTTAGTACATTAACTATATACTCTCAAATAATTTAATATATACACACAACTCAGAAATGTTCATTATATAAATAGGCCAGAAAACAAAGACTTAACAAGCACAAGATGCTCCCCTTACATAGCCAATTTAAAAGACAGATTGAGGTAGTCCAGGCGCAGTGGTTCATGTCTGTAATCCCAGCGCTTTGGGAGGCTGAGGAGGGTGGATTACATGAGGTCAGGAGTTCAAGACCAGCCTGGCCAACATAATGAAACCCCATCTCTACTAAAAATACAAAAATTAGGTCGGCATGGTGGCACACAACTGTGGTCCCAGGTACTCAGGAGGCTGAGGGAGGAGAATCACTTGAACCCGGGAGGCAGAGGTTGCAGTGAGCTGAGATCGTGCCACCACACTCCAGACTGGGTGAAAGACTGAGGCTACACCTCCAAAAGAAAAAAAAAAAAGACTAAGTGAGGTACAAGAATGGAGAGAGACCGAAACACCTGTGGCACTTAGCATATGGCTGGTAAGGGCTATATTAACAATTCTTCTTTGACGCACTATATGAAAAAAAACAAATGATTTTAACATGAAAAGAACAATGTAATAACAACATAAAAAATTTTGTTCCAGGGTCAGTCCTAGAAACATTCAAGGGTCATTTAAGATTTCAGTGTATTTAAGTTTCTGCTTTTGTTGAAGAAAAAAGAAAAAAAAATACAAAATATTCCAGTATATTTTATATTAATTAATATTAATATATCCATACTTGTAGTTCATTGTAATAAGTAAAAAGCAAAAAATAAAAAAACAGAATGAGTCACACAAATAGTTCAGTTAAGCTCTGGGTAGTGGATTCAATATAGTACGTAAGTATATTTTTAGATATATTTTCTACTAAATATAACAGGCAGTACATGGTGGGCTCACACCTTTAATCCTAGCACTTTGGGAGGCCAAGGCAGAAGGATTGCTTGAGCCCAAGAGTTGAGACCAACTTGGGCAACAGAGTGAAACCCCATCTTCACAAGAAAATAAGAAATTAGCCTGGTATGTGGTGTGTGCCTATAGTCCAAGTACTCAGTAGCCTGAGGGAGGAGGTCCCTTGAGATCAGGAGTTCGAGGCTGCACTCTAGCCTGGCTGACAGAGCAAGATCCTGTCTCAAGAAAATAAAATATAATAAAAATAAAAAATAATATAAACAGAGTGATGTCAGCCAGATGGTGGAATGGGAAGCTCCAAACCTTGATTCTCCATAAAGATACCAACTGAAAAACAATATATGGTCTAAAAGCCTTTATGGAGTTCCATAAACCATTAAGAAGTTGTAGTAGTACAGACAAGTGCAAAGCCAAGAATAGTGGCATTGAACAGATAAGAAAAGCTGTTGCATTATACTGATGATACCCCTTCCCCAAGCTCAAACAGGTTGGTTTGGCTGGGAAGCACTCAACTTGCAGCTTCTCCGTTAGCAGGGAAAGAGAAGACTGAAACGGAATAGTTTTATGAGGTTACCTGAAGCTCTCTCACTCTCTCTAACTTGACGCCCAACTGGCATACTTTGGATGCATGGGAGCCACTGGGAATAAAGGAGAGGTCAGAGATGATGCAGCACCAGGGAACCTGCAGTACCACAGACAGATACCAGAAGGAGCAACAGCTCCAGAAAAAGAAACTGGCAAACCTCTACTTGGGATGTTGCAATGTATAAACCCAAAGAAGATGCATTCCCAGAAAGAGTTTGAGAGGCTGCTGGAACCTATAGCCATGCTGATTCAGGTATGAAGGTCTTCCGTATGAAGCCAGCTGATAAAAACTGGGAGAAGTGGCAGTTTTTTCAAACGCCCAAATATTGGCAAAAATAAATAAAAAATAAAAAATAACAAGACATAAGAAGAAAGAGAGAAACCTGATGACTAAATTAAAGGAGCAAAATAAATCTCCAGAAACCAACCCTAAAGAAATAGGTAAATGAGTTACCTGACAAAGAATACAAATTAACTCTCTTAATGAAGCCCAGTGACAACAGAAATAGACAACTAAGTGAAAGCAGGAAATAATTCATGAACAAAATGAAAATATTAACCGAGATAGAAACTTAAAAAAAAAAAAAAAACAAAAAGGAACCATACAGAAACTCTGGAGCTAAGTCATACAATAGCTCAATTGAAAAATTCACTATCGGAAATCACCAATAGACTGTGTAACTGCCCAATGGGTTCACCTCGTGCCCTGCTTAGACAGAGCTGATTTATCAAGACAGGGGAATTGCAATGGAGAAAGAGTAATTCAGGCAGAGCTGGCTGTGCGGGAGATCAGAGTTTTATTATTACTCAAATCAGTCTCCCTGAGCATTCGGGGATCAGAACTTTTAAAGATAATTTGGCAGGTAGGGGCTTGGGAAGTGGGAACTGCTTATTCATCAGGCTGGAGATGAAATCATACGGGGTTGAAGTGATGATGTTTTCTTGCTGTCTTCTGTTTGTGGGTGGGGTGGCAGAACTAGTTGAGCCATATTACCAGTCTGGGTGGTGTCAGCTGGTTCATCCAGTGCAGGGTCTGCAAAATATCTCAAGCACTGATTTTAGGTTTTACAATAGTGATGTTATCCCCAGGAGCAATTTGGAGAGGTTCAGACTCTTGGAGCCAGAGGCTGCATAACCCCTCAACTGTAATTTCTAATGTTATAGCTAATTTGTTTATCCCGCAAAGGCAGACTGGTTCCAGGCAAGAAGGGGATCTTTTTGGGAAATGGCTATTATCAACTTGGTTTGAGAGTCAAACCATGAACTGAATACCTTACCAAAATTAGTTCATCCTACTGCCAGGAATGAACAAGGGCAGTTTAAATGCTAGAAGCAAGATGCAGTTGATTAAGTCTGATATCTTTTGCTGTCATAATTTCTTCAGTTATAATTTTTGCAAAGGCAGTTTCAATAACATCAAGCAGAAGAAAGAATCAGTGAAACGGAAGACTAGTCATTTGAAATTATGGAGTCAGAGGAGCAAAAGGGAAAAGGAGTGAAGAGTGAAGACAGCCTAAGAGACTTACAGGATGCCATCAAGCAGACCAATGTATGCATTATGAAAGTGCCAGAAGGAGAAGAGAAAAATAAAGGGGCAGAGAGCCAGTTAAAAAAGTAATGACCAAAAACTTCTCAAACTTAAAGAAGGAAATGGACATACAAATCCAAGAGGCTCAAAGAACTCCAAGTTGGATAATTTGCAAAAGACCTACAATGAGACACATTAGAATTTTGAAAGGAACAGGATCAAAGCAACTTGTCACATACAAGGGAGATTCCATATGGTTATCAATGGAATTC